>NC_000001.11:229517454-229668970 GCF_000001405.40 Homo sapiens | reverse complement strand
TTACCTCCATTTCACAGAGAAGAAAATGACACTCAGGAAACTTAAGTGATTTATCCAGAGTCTCACAGTTATGAAGTGGTTTCTGCTATGTAAAAAACTTAATAAATGTTGGCTAAATGAAAGCACGAATGAATGTATAAACATACATATAATTTCATAAATTTAGAAACACATGTTTTGTAAGCCATACATATTTATTCACCAAAGAAAAACTATGGCCCGAACGCCCAAGGATCCCCTGTCAATAGAGGTAGCCCTGACGCTGAGGCCTGCAGGGAATACCTGGCAGAAAGGAGGGAGGGAGCTGAGGAGGCCAACAGGAAGAAAGAAAAAGGACCTAGGGCCAAATCCACAGATCTGAGCAGGCACAAGAAATCCAAGGCAACACCAACTCACCACAAGAAATCAGAATCTAGACTAGAGCACAGGGCAGGTGAAAAAAGGAGGACTTTTGAGCAGTGATTCTGTTCATGAGGAGGGTCTGGGATATAGTTCAAGATGCCTGGTCTGGGCCACAGGGCCTGATGGCTCAGGCAGAAACTAGAATGTGAAGGGAGCTAAGGAAAAGGAGGCTGGACGGGGTGATATAGTTTGGCTGTGTCCCCACTCAAATCTCATCTTGAATTGTAGTTCCCATAATTTCCACGTGTTGTGGGTGGGACCCAGTGGGAGACAACTGAATCATGGAGGTGGTTTTCCCCATACTGTTCTTGTGGTAGTGAATAAGTCTCACGAGATCTGATGATTTTATAAAGGGAACATACTTTTGCTTGGTGTTCATTTTCTCTCGTCTGCCACCATGTAAGATGTGACTTTTGCCTTCTGCCATGATTGTGAGGCCTCCCCAGCCACATGGATCTGTGAGTCCATTAAACCTCTTTTTCTTTATAAATTACCCAGTCTCAGGTACATCTTTATCAGCAGCATGAAAATGGACTAATACACGGGGCAACCTACCCCTGACTGGTCACTTTGGAAAACCAGGTGAAGAGAGCTCCCCCTGAGCTAATTTGGAAAAGGCACCTGCTCTGGGTGGACAAAGGTACAAGACTCTGTAAAGAGAGCTCAGGTCAGATTCTGGTCCCAACTTGTTCCCTCAGCCAGGAATCTTTGGGCAGTGCACAAACCATACAACTGTATGAAGCAGACTTGAAGTTAAGCAGGTAGTTGGAGAATCTGCATCAGATACCTCTTTGCCCCACTGCAGAGCCTCTGGACCTCACCTGTCTCTCATTCCAGCTGTGTGGATTTTGACCTCCTACAGACACAACCTGACTGCACCAAACCTCCGGCCCCAGTTCTTCTATTGACAGAGGCCTCCTCCCCACTCCCCCACCAGATGCCCAGACAATGCAGGTGCAGCTCACAGGGCAGGGGTAGAACATGCCCTCCTATTAGCTCTTTCTATGCTTGGTGCCCCACGTCCCTCGCTCCTGCTGAGATTGAACTCCATAATAAAGTAATAGCACCTGTGTCCTCCATCTCTTACTTTGCTTTCTGGAAGCCTGCACTAAGGTAGAATCAATGGAAGCCATGGGCCCACCCAGAAAAGTGCACATACAAGCAGAAACTGGTACGGGTTCTCAGCGGGTTTGTGGCTCCCCTGAAGGCCAGTTTAAAAACCTCAGCCTTGAGGAGAAAGGTAGAAGTTACAGTTCCTGAGCAGAAGCATGTTAGCTTTTTCTTACTCCTGGACACACCCCAGCTCTCTGATTCTGAGGGTACTCAAGAATTGAGCATGGAGAAGGGAGCTCAACACAGCAGAGTGCAGCCTTCACTCACTTACCAGAAGCCCAAGCCTAGCCAGAGTGAGGCAGCCGTCAGATTACTGAAGAACTAGATGAAGATTTAAAACGGATTCCGAGATGAGAGAGGGTATTTCACCCCCACCACTCTCTGGGTTTTGAGCAGCCATCTCCTAATCTCTGCTTATATAGTCTTTTCACAAAAAGTCCTTTGCATCTTAGCAAGAAGCAACAAAATTGCTCTATAAGATAAACAAAAGGTTAATTACAAAACCCTGCGTACTCCAGAAGCCCACAGGCAAGAACAGCTATTTATTTCCCCAGCTCACAGCTCTGTCTGCCCTGCTGCAGGTGTCTGTCCAATGCATGCAGCCATCTGAATCACTGCACCTGCTCCCACCACACAGCAAAAGAAAATACCACCTGGGATTTGGACAGTTTCCCATAAAGCATTCCAAAGTGAGTATTCCAAAGACAGAAACATTTGCCCTTTTGGAGACCTTGAAAGGAACCTTGGCAGTTCTCCCCATTGTCTTCTAAGGAGGGAAGAAGAATCCCTCAGACTGATGCCCCATCTGTGATGAATATGCGTTCAAGAAGCTGGAGGAAACCACTAGCAATTGCTGCATGCACGCGTAAGGCACCAGCCGTGGACGTTCATGCTATCATTCTGACAACCTGTCCATCAAAAGTGGCATCCAAATGCCACCCAGAGAATCCCAGAAGTGGACATTTAAGTCTCCCCAGTGCCCTTGCTCCATGCAGATGTGCTGTGGATGAACAGCTGCTTTTCACCAGCCCAGCTCCTCTGAAACTTCCCATTGCAAAGGGAGCCACCAGACCCTGCACTTCCAGCACCACAAGCCAGCGCCAGCAGCAGTACATGTCACAGGAGCCTCATCAGAAAGTCGAATCTGGCAGAGCTGTCTTCTGCCTGTATCTCCAATCCCAATGACAATCAGAACTAGGTGTGTGGCAAACAGGTGCTGAAAACCTCAGCCCCCAGAGTATAAAGCAGCCCTCCTGACATTTGCTGGATTAGGGATGAATGCATCTGGAAATTGAGACAATCAGGAAGCTAATGTCACATTTCCAGATTTTCTGAAAACCTAAGCTGTGGGTGTTTAGTGAAACAATGACGCATTGTAATAGGAAGCATCAGCAACACTTTGCTGTGGTAAACTGCAGCCTCTGTACAGTCAGGCCACGCAGCCACACATAGTGCATGGAAAATTTAATTCAAATATTTATTCTACAAAGACGCATTCATTGACATTTATGGAGACAGGCGGGTGGAGCGCAGTTTTCAAATTGTTCTACTCTGCTGGAAGACCAGTATTCCCAGGGCATTCTTCATCCAACAAGTATTAATTGAGCACCTACTATGTGCCAGGTGCCCATTTCGGGTCCATACTCAAGCTGTGAGTAGCACAAACAGGATCCCTGCATATGCGGAGTTTAACTTCTACTGGGAAAAAAGACACCAGACAACATGCATAAGCAAAACACCTAGTAAATTGGAGAGCAACACATACTGAGGAAAAAGTAATGAAGCAGGGAAAAAGGGGACAGGATGGTCAAGGCAGGTGGGTGGGATTTTAGATGGAGTTTCCAAAAGTCATCATAAGGCCAGGCGTGGTGGCTCATGCCTGTAATCCCAGCACTTTGGGAGTCCAAGGATGGTGGATCACCTGAGGTCAGGAGTTCAAGACCAGCCTGGCCACCATGGTGAAACCCCGTCTCTACCAAAAAAATATAAAAATTAGCCAAGCATGGTGGCACGCACCTATAGTTCCAGCTACTCAGGAGGCTGAGGTGGGAGAATCGCTTGAACCTGGGAGGCAGAGGCTGCAGTGAGCCAAGATCATGCCACTGTAACCCATCCTGGGCAACAGAGCAAGACCCTGTCTCAAAAAAAAAAAAAAAAAGAAATTTGTTTTTTGAAAGGAGACTCTTTGGAGGTTTGAAGGAAGATGGAGGGACAACCACTAGGACTATTTAGAAACAATCTCTAGGATGAGTGACCACAGGCAGTAAGAGAAAAGAGGGAAGATGCTAGTGAGAGCTGGGACTGAAGGAGAGTGAGGAATTGGTTATGTCTTCCAGATTTTCAACTCAATTCAATGAGCAGAAATTGGCAAGTTTGAAAAGGACTTGCCCAGAGGCAATGGTGACATCAGGGAGTGGAAGGTCAGGAAAGTTAGAAGGTCTAGAGAGAATTGTCAAGGATTAATCCTTGAGGACACCAGTATTTTAGGGGAAGGGAGAGAAAAAGGTAACCAAGAGCATCAGAGATAGTCGAGGCCCTAGAGGATGCAGAGAGCCAGCGGGGGGTCCGACCAGCCAAGGGTGTCCAGCGATGGTCAAGGACCTACCACACATTCGTGAAGCCAGGTGTCTTTCAGAGGGCAGTTTTGATGGGAAGGATGACCAAGGAGCAAAGGTAGACTCCTTATAATTGTTGGGTAGTCAAGAGAAAAGGCTGATGGAAATGTGAGAGGATAACAGGATCGAGACTGAAGATAAATTAAGAGTATTCTGTGTGTGTCTATAAACAGCAGGGAAAGTGATAGCAGAGACTCGAGAGACAGAGGGCTATGGTTAGATGGGAAGAGATTGTGTGCCTGATTTAATCTGTTATAAAGCTCAAAGAGGGCTTAGAGAAAATACCAGTGCAGGCTGCATGCCAAGTCAGAGAATACCAGACACTGAATGGCACCGGCACCCACATCTGTCCCCACAAGAACAGCCATTCTGAGTCTTTGAAATGGCCATAGTTGGGAAACAGTTGGCCATGCCCTCTAGCATGACATTAAGGTACAGGAAGACGCAGGGCCGTGCACTGATTTGTGTTTCTGTGGGTGCTTCTTTATCACCACCTTGGCAGCCGGCCAGGCGTTACTGCTGGGATTTCCCGTGGCCTCATTTTTCTGAGTGTGTTTCTCGCCCCAGGCCCCAGCACACTTTCACCTCCGTTGAGCCTGGTCTACTGAGTCACATCCCCTCAATCCTCCTTTGTAATGAAAAACCACTCCCACTACTACTAGTTGTGTTCTTTCTGGAGCATTTCACAAACCTCTTCCTTCCTCTCATCCAAATATTTATGTTCTACGATCAACCAGAACTTCACATTAAAACCATTGTAACAATCCAGTCTCCACAAGCTCCTAACATCCCAAAGCTATGCTGCCTCATGGATGTTTCTCCCTCTGATGAAAAAAGAGATCTTCCTCCCAATAGGTGACCCCAGCAGAAGAGAGAGAACAGGATTTTGTAGAGAATCAATCCCCATGACTCCATTCCTTTCTCCCTCAACAGAGCTGGCTCTGGAGTTAAGGGTAGGGCAGGACAATCAGGGAACTCCAAAGACGAGGAAGGAGGTGACAGACCTAGGGATGCCAGTGAGGCACAGTGGTCATGGTGGCAACGGGGAACAAGCTGGGTAGAGGGACAACAGGGCAGGCCAAAGAAAGGACATTACAAACAGGCTCATTGGGCCAGGCACGGTGGCTTACACCTGTAATCCCAGCACTTTGGAGGCCAAGGCAAGAGGATCACCTGAGCCCAGGAGTTCAATTCCAGCCAGGGCAAGAGCGAAATCCCATCTCTACTTAAAAAAGATTAGCGAGGCGTGGTGGCATGCACCTGTAGTCCTAGCTACTTGGGAGGCTGACATGGGAGGAGCACTTCAGCCCAGGAGTTGGAGGCTGCAGTGAGCTAGGATCACACCACTGTACTCCAGCCTCTTAAAAAAAAGGAGCAAGGGAAGCCAAGAAGAGTCCAACAAGGAGGCTCAAGTGTGAGTTCTCACATCAGCGATGGCAGATGGGCAGGGGTGGCAGTCCTGGGAATGTGGGGTCAGGACATTTCAGAAGGGTCCCCAGTGTGGACATGAGGCTACAAAAAATATCAGCAGGAAACAAGAGGGAAGACTGGGAAAGAAGAGAGGTCACCAGCAAGCAGGAGTGATTGAGAGAGGTGGCCCAGACACACCAGGGAGGGAGGGCAGAGAAGTCAGTGAGTGGGGATGGCAGAATGGTGTTGGAAGGACGTGGGGACAAGAAAGCACAGGGCAACAGAAGTAACATCCATTAGAGAGACACGAGAGACATACAGGCTGAGGGGGAAAGGGTGAATATCACCTCTCCCTCCAGCCACTGAACTTGTCTGCTGGAAGAGATGGAAAAGGTAAACGACAAAGTAAAATTTAAAAAAAAAGGAGAGTGTTCAGAAGTTGCACAAGGGAATGAGGAATCAAAAACGACACTGCTGCTGCCTCTACAGCGGCTTTTATGAGACATAAAGCAGAAACGTATGAGCTTATTAGACAAAAGAATTCAGGCTATAGCCTGGCATGCCGGCAATAAATCAAAGTTACCTCTATGAGTTATGAGAAACCAGGGCCAGGTGCGGGGGCTAACACCTGTAATCCCAGCACTTTGGGAGGCCAAGGAAGGGAGGACTGCTTGAGGCCAGGAGTCCCAGACCAGCCTGGGCAACATAGTGAGACTATCTCTACTAAAAACTTAAAAATTAGCTGGTTGTGGTGGTGTGCACCTGTAGTCCCAACTACTTGGGAAGCTGAGACAAGAGGATCGCTTGAGCCCAGGAGTTGGAGGGTGCAGTGAGCTAGGATTGCACCACTGCACTCCAGCCTAGGCAATAGAGCGAGACCCTGTCTCCAAAGAAAAATGAAAAAGAGAAACCGAAAAAAAAAAAAACTCCCCCAAATCCCTTCAAGTAGACACCCCCTCTTTGCTGTCTTTTTTTCTGGAGACTTCACATCACTCCTTAACATTGGGCAGTTTCCACAGCTACTGTAGGAGGCTGAGTCCGGGAAGCTGCAGAAGACAGGCTGTGAAGGAGACCCACCCACTGTGGTCCACAAGCAGGGCAAGGTCGAGAACGGGGCTGTGTGTTGTCTGTGCCATTGGGGGCCCCCTGATGTACTACTGTCCAGGACCGCCCAAGGCAACATCCCAGGCAAAGTCACCCCGCTGAGCCTTCTCTCACCCAACTCCCCTTACGCCCACCCCTCCCTTCAGGTGTCCGCCCTCAGCCAAAACCAGGCTGCCACATGGATTCAGTGCAGGCATTAAGGATCAGCACCCCAGGCCCTTCCAGGGGCGCCTCTCACCACCCAGGCAGGTCTCAGTTCAAATATCACCTCTTTCTCCAGCCACTGAACTTGTCTGCTTTGCTGCCAACCCCGCGATCACCCCCTGGCCTATTTGTTTCCTGGCTCATTGTCAATGTCCTCTACTAGAAAGCTCCCTGAGGACCAGGGCCATGTCTCCGTGCCTGGTACAGACAGGTGATTCATGCACATCTGTCAGGTGATGGGGGTCTGGAGCCACAGCAAGTCCAGTGGGGACAGTCTCTCTGAAGCCCAGCATTTTGCCGTTCCCCAAGCTGAGTCCCCAACTCTGCCATGTGGAGAGCTGGCTGGGCCAACTCTCTTTGCTTGTGAGGTCTATTCTAACAGGATAAAAATGAACAACAGAGCCTCCATATTTGCCAGCCAGAAACATGTTTCTTCTACCCTATGAATCAGCAAAATGGAGTTAAAACAAATTCTTTGCTGAGGAGCGTTTAGAGTTCAAATAGAAATGACTGTGAGGAACCTGTGACTGCTTCCCCAGAAATGGGAACACAGCAGAGAGCCCTTCAGAGCTGTGCAGGGAGGAGGTGGAGTCCCAGCCTTCTCTTCGTCCTTCCCTTCCTTCAAGGCTGACTACCTGGCAGCCGCTGCCAACTCCCTTCGAAAGGCCCTGCAGTGCCACCACCAGGACGCCTGATGAACTGCTCCACGTTCGTCAGCTCACCCAGCATTCCCAAGGCAGGGGGAAAGGATGGTCCCCTCACCTCTGGCCTTCAGAACTTTCAGCACAGGAAAAACTAGCCATGGCTCCATGAAGGCCTTGGAGACAGTTAGCTTCCGGTCTGGGCACTTGAACCAGAGGCAAACCTAAGACCGTGTTTTAGCTCCCGCTTGTTTACAGCTCGTGTCCTTGAAAGGTCGCCCGCTCACACCAACACCCATCTCCAATTGTGAACAAGAAATGGCGCCACCAGACTCTCTTCGAGGCTCCTGCAGGGAGTTTACTACAGAAACAAAATTCTGTCAACACAAAGCATTAAGCGAAAGGATGCCAGACCAGCCGAAGACATTTCTGGTGGCCAGAGCTTCGAAAGGCCCTCTGCACACACAGTCTAGATGAGGAAGGGAAGGGAACAGATGACATGTGCAGTGCGTAAGGCAGGACTGTCCCCCAGCCCCCACAAGATAGCACAGGAAATAAAATCAAATGTGGGGCGTAAAACAAGGGCCATTTCTCTTAGGTATCAAAGACATTCATTTTATATTGTCTGCTCCAATCACATCTGCTTGAAAATACAGTGTTAAAAAAAAAAAGCCTTTGCTTAAGGATGATCCTTCAAATAACTTCAAAAGTCTGCATTTTGAACTAATTAAAAAGGGAATTCCAACATGATTCCCCCAAAGACAGTGAATAAGAAAAATGGTAAATATCCCAATTGAGAAATGTGCTATTACAGAAGAAAGATAATTATATAAACATAATTTACATAAGAAATAAAAATGGTAAATGTGAAAAATGTATAATCTCTTAGTAATTAAAGAAATTCAAAACAGAATAACATCTCTCTCCTATCAAGGAAGCATAAAGAAACAAAAATCAATAATATTAAAGTTGACTCACTAGTAGGAAAATAAATTAGTAATATTCTAGGGGGCAATTTGGCAATATTTATATAAATCCTTTAAAAATGATGTGGTTTTCTGACAAATAATACAACTCATGAGAATTCATCTTCTGAAAATAATTCAGCTGCAAGCACCATCTATAAAAGGGAATTTGGACAGATACCTATGTCTAACCATGGTGTACTTATTAAATAAAACAACAATATCTACTCAATGGACTACTATGCAGCCAAAAAAAATATATGTCGAATGTTTTCACTGACCCAGAGTTACTTAAAATATTACACAGGAAAAAAGGTAACTTTAAAAAAATGCATTTATGATCCAATTTAGCTACTATATATATTTATATGCACATCTATATACATACACATAGTAAAGGGACTACAACAAGATACTCCAAGGTGACAACCGAGGTTATCTGGGTAACTGAGACTATGAATGAGTTTTTTAAATTATCCTTTTATTTTTCTTTTCTGAGGTTGCTATAATAAAAATATATTGCTTAGGTAATAAGAAAAAACAATTAGGATTATTTCTTAAACTGCATAGGAAAAAAAAATTCCTAAATGAACTTCACAGAGCTAACACAGGAGGAGCAGGCAGGAGCCCTGGCACCTGTGCTAAACGTCACCGACCTGCCTGAGGTGCCCACTATCGCCACCCAGAGCAGACACCTCAGGCCACAGACTCTAACTTTCCCTGACTTCTTCAGAAAGCATACTTAGAGGGAAGGCAGAAAATGTGACATTTCAAGAATACTTCCCATGTTACTTGAAGAATTTGAAAGGCAAGTATATTTAAACAGGGCTGAATTATACGCCCATGTACCCAAAGTAAAAAGCCAAGTTTTATGTAGTTTCCAGTGCAGACGAGGGAACACCAAACCACTGAGCCAAGACGAGAACCAAACACAGAAAGGTCCCAAGAGTCAGCAATTTTTCTATTGAATTAATCTCATCCCAGGGTCAATTTTCAGGATTCTATTGCAATACTTACTGCATAAAACTATGTATTAAAAAATAGTAAGAAAAACACGATGTAAAATACATCAAAATATACTACATAAACCCCAAAGGATTTTCTATGTATACCAATACTACGAATTAGAACATCTTAAGTCTTTCATTCTCCAGCTCTTTCAGACCATGCAGCCAAAGCCTCTGGACAGTGTCACTGGCGGCACTTCTGTCCCATAGCCTTAGGCCGTATATCTTTTCTCTCCTTCATGTTTGGCCTTGTGGTACTTGAGATAGTCATTATAGAGCTCCTTAAAGATGTCTCTCATTCCCGGCTGCAGCGAGGCCCGCAGGAACTGGACGTCAGGCTCGATGCAGAGGTCCAGGATGAGGTAAATGCCCTCCTGCAGCAGACTTTTCACAGCTGGATATAAGGTCACCTGAGGAAAAAGGCAAACCTCTGTGAGAACAATTGGGGGCAGAGATCAAGCCGCACCACCTGCCAACAATGCCTTGGGAAGCACTAACAAGTAATTTCAAACTGACCTCCAAATTGAGAAAAAAATCGACATTCACTTTTAAAATATAATTTTATTACTAAGTCAAACCTTTAAATACTCATATTTTTAAAGTTTGTATTTTGGGGAAATAGAAGCTAACTCAAGCAAACACAAACCTGGAATAAAACTCCATGAAAGCAAAAGGCTGGCTTTGCTGTTCAGTAAATGATGCTTACATGTTTACCAGGGGCATTTTAAAAAACTGGAGTCTTTAAATTTAAAAACCTTATAAGAAGATAAGCTGCCTGCCCATTGTGTCAAATTCTTCTACACCGTCAATCACCTTGGAAGCTATGCCAACCCTGTGGGACAATGACAACTACGTTCACCATAACACTATGACCCCCATCTCACCCCAGAGCAAGGCAGCAGGCAGGCTCTGAAACTACCAAAACAGACCACTGATAAGCCTACACTAGTAATTAGATCACATCATATCACCCAAGAGCAGAAGTGATTTCATGATTGCCATTTAATAGATTCCTTTTTTATTTATGTCAAGAACAGCACAATATGCACTTAATTCCTAACAGCCCTGGAATGGTTGAACTGGTCCTCATCCCTAAAGATGCACTTCTCCCCTGAAGTTCAGGGTTACCTAAAATCTGGAGCACAGGAGTGTGGGTGGCAGCCAGCTCCAACCTGGCTGTATCTGATGCTCCACCCAAACTTCCAGAGAAGAGACTCAGACTAATATCAAACCAACCTAAAAGGCTGGGGGAACAGGTTCTCTTCACACTTACCACATCCATTCAGGTTTCAACTAAATGTGGGCTGAACAGAGTTTGAAACCCTAGTAACTGAAACTAAAAAGCAGTAGTAATGAACAGTTCTGGGAACAGATGGTGGTGATGGCTGCACAATATAAGAATGTATATACTACTACTGAAGTGCACACATAAAACAGTTAAGCTGGTAAAATTCACCTTATACTAGATGTATTTTGCCATTACTTTTAAGAAGTAGAAAAAAACCAAAGCAGTGGTAGAGCATCAGCAGACAGGCCTGGAATTTGGCTGATCATTTATTGCTACCCTGATAACCTGAAAGGGTTAATGTGTCTCTGCAAACACAGTTTCTAATGAGGACATATTTTATTAACCAGAAGAACTGATTCACGAAGGCAACCACTGGGAAGTACATTCCTAAAGAGGCAATTTGTTTCTGTCTCTCAGACGATGCTACTCTTCAAAGTTATGATCCTTTTCATGTAATAGTTCAGAAATTTCTGACAAGTGATCATCTTAAATTTTACCATTTTATAGATGATAGCAACACTCAAGGACCGAAGGTAGAATGGCGTGTCTGTGAATTTTACAGCAAGGTAATTGGGAGGGAAAGAAAAAAACAAAACAAAACGAAAAACAGACAAAAACACAAAGTCCTTGATCATACTGGCAGGGTGAGGGCTTTGTAAGTGGACTACTTATTCATACTTGTTCATTCATTTAATTATCACTTACTAAATAAATAATTCCACTTCCAAAGGCAAAAAATGAGGTTCAGTGACCTCCCCAAAGTCACACAGCTAATAACTGGCAGCGCTAAGACTTGAACCTAGGCAGTCTGAGCCCAGAGCCCATGCTCTGAACTACTTACACAGTTTCTCAGTAGTGAAAATGCAGCTAGACAGCCTCTTGCAAAGAGCTCTGGGGGTAGTAAGAAGGCCAGTAGGTTTTAGACAACACAACCACTTTAAATCTTTAGGTTTCAGATAACTTATTTATAAAACAAGAAAAGAGTCAATTTCTACAACACTAAGATCACTGGCCAACAAATGAAAACATCACTAAGTAGCTTTTAAAACCTTAGATAAGATGAGCAGCACAAACTACTTATTCTAAGCTATCACCATACAGATGGTTCCTGACTTAAGACGGTTCAACTTAACACTTTTCAACTTGACATTTTTTGAATTAACAACAGATTTATCCAGATATAACTGCATCATTAAGTCAAGGAGCATCTGGACTTAACAATGGTTCAACTTACGATTTTTTCACTTTTACGATGGGTTTATCAAGTACTGAATGCATTTCAACTAATGATATTTTGAATATACTATGGCTTTATTGGGACACAGCCCCCTCCTAAGTCCAGGAGCATCTGTAGAGGGACATTGTAAATTTGCTCTACAGGTAAAAAAGGAGATGAAAGTAACCATAATTTCCCTGCATGTTTCCATGGGGACTCATTACTGCTTGGAGGAAAGAAGACAAGCGGGCCTCTGGAGCTGCCCCTTCTCCTGACTGACACATCTCACCAGGTCGTCTTCCCTGACTACTGACAGGTCCCACCAGCAATACTCAACTCTGCAGAAGTACAAGGAAAATGCAAAGGAGATCTATTTAGCATTAGATCTGGTATTTAATTAAACTTAAACACGCTGGTCTAGAAAGATTTATGGCTCTCTCAGTAGAAGCTGCTAATGCATATGGAATATTTTCTTCATTGCTGAATTTAAAAACAAAATGAAAGATAGAACATGGACTGTGGTGCCAGTGGATTCTGGGAGGCTATGGCCCTAGCTAATTCCCAAAGCCTTTGGCTTTCAAGATTAAAAATAAAATATAACTAATGAGCATAAATTAGACATGAATAATGAGGCCAGGAAGCCAGAGGCTTTTCATAAAGTAAATTTCAGAATAATAATTAGTGACTGAAGGGTTCAAATTACTGCTTCTCTTCTTGGCTCTTAGTGAAGTGATATTACTATGTCTCATTTTATTATTCAGTAAGACAGAAAATAACGCCAGCTTTTCTTTCATCAAAAGCTTACATGTTAACGACTGGTGTGCTTGGGAAATACTAAGATTCCATAAAAAGGCCAAATAACTGCAATGAAACCAAACTACAAGCCCACATCTTGGTCAAAGGACAACGTGAAGGGGTGTTCTCAAGATCCACAACACTTACCAGGTGTGGGCTCCACACCCGGTAAGGTGTGTGCACTCACATGGCCAGGCTGCCCCCATGTCCCCACCCACAGGACAGGCATCGCCACCTGCCGAGGTGAGCAAGGCCAGCGGGGTAGAAATTATTTAGTAGTTCTAGATGTATCTAAAACAGGAGCAGGGATGAAAAGTGATGCAGCTCCAGGTTTTCTAAGGAAGCCCATTCAACCCAGCCTCCCTGGACAAATGCTGACACCTCTACCCTAACAAGCTTACTTGTGATTTTACTATTGTTCTTACAAGATTTACAAAGGGGAAATGGGTATTTTACAGAGAGATTGAACACAATATAAATGTATATCTATACATACAGAAGAAGACAGTCAAAAGAATACACCGCACTTTGCTCAAGCCTATGACAGTCAATTTAAACCAAGATTTATACAGCATAGATTTACAAAGTTCTGTAGTGAACTTACTATGGGTCACACAGGATCCTGTGGAATTTTGAAAATAGCATAATGACATTCCAAAGTAAGATAACTGTTGAATGGCTGGGCGCGGTGGCTCACACCTGTAATCCTGGCACTTTGGGAGGCCAAGGCGGGTGGATTACCTGAGGTCAGGAGTTTGAGACCAGCCTGGCCAACATGGCAAGACCCTGTCTCTACTAAAAATACAAAAATTAACTGGGCGTGGTGGTGGGCACCTATAATCCTAGCTACTCAGGGGGCTGAGGCAGAAGAATCACTTGAACCCACGGGGCAGAGGTTGCAGTGAGCTGAGATCACACCACTTCACTCCAGCCTGGGAGAAAGAGCAAAACTCCATCTCAAAAAGAAAAAAGATAACTGTTGAATAGTGAATTATCCAGAACACTGAATCAAAAAGTCAGATTAATTTGGACAAACATGTTTTTTCTTAATCTGTCTATTTTAACAACTACCTGTATCTCCACCTTGTCATCGACTTTGAGTGTCTGAGAGCAGCTGAGTCACATGAGTGACACACCGCCAGAGTAAAGATACATGAACTCTTGCAGCTGAGGGGATCCCAGAATCCTGAGGTCTAGAACTCCTCTTTCTAGTCTCCATTAAGCCTGGTCCTATGAGAGCTCCTGTTCTTGGACCTGAGTAACATTTCCTCTCCTTTTATATAACTCAAGAAACTAACCAAATAGACCCCGAAGTTTGTGCTAGAGCAAGACAGATAATCGAGCATTTTCTGTGTACAAGGCACCACTGAGCCCTCTGTATGTCATTTCATTTGGTCCTTACAATAACCCTGTAGGAATGCTGCTAAACACCTTGAACTAGACAGGACTCCAGAGAATGGGAAGGCTGAAGAGAAAGGAAGGCCTGAGGCCAGGAGTTTGAGACCAGCCTGCACAACATAGGGAGACCCCATCTCTACAAAAATTTAAAAATTAGCTGAGTGGAGTAGTACATGCCTGTAGTCCTAGCTACTTGGGAGGCTGAGGCGGGAGGAACATTTGAGCCCAGGAGTTCGAGGCTGTAGTGTGCTATCATCGCACTAATGCACTCCAGCCTGAGTGAGAGAGCAAAACCCTGTCTAAAACTTGCACACAGCAACAGAGAACTGTCAGATCCAGAACACCGCTTGCCATTTTGGTTGAGAAACCCTGCTTAAGGACCATAAACACAGTACTTGGTGAAAGACATTGAACCCAATTTTACCTTCTGTACCTCCAACACGTACTGGGCCACCATAAATGGGGAAAACACAGCAAACTCCTCAGCTCGTGCGGCGATGTGGCTGTACATTCTTTCAACCAGGCGTGCACACTTTAGGACCGTAGGCAGGTCATCTATGCTTCCTACAGACAACAAAGTGTTTCCCAACCAATTAGTTCAAAAACAGCACATTTTAACTCTTCTATGTTAGACTTTTAATATGGGTGAAAATTATCTCAAGTGTTACATGTTTTCCCAGACTCTTTAATTGGCTTATTTTGCAGACAGAATAAGGGAGAACAGATATGTCCAAACAGTTATCTACACAACAAAGGGAAGGACACTTTAAAAAACTCAAGAGTGCTCGGGTGTTTTTAAGAGTCTAACCAGAAAAGTAATCAAGATTTTTAGGATGAAATCTAGGATTACTTAAAAAAAAAAAAAAAAAAAAAAAACACCAAGATGGAGTTCTATAATAAAGGCAAATGGAAAACAAATTGAAAATTATCTTAAGTGGAGAAAATCATCTACCGACATCATATGATTTAAAAAATGAGATACCCTAAATTATGTCTTTGCCTCCTTACATTTCAGAAATTGTTTGTGTATGTGCCTTTTATAGGTGGACAGACATAGGACTCAATTATCATTAGCAGACATTCTACTGTCTTCTTAGATTTACTTCTGATTCCTAGTTCTTTTCCTACCATATGGTGTCAGGACCGTCCAGGGCCTCTTAACAAACTCCTCCCAAGAATCCTAATTGCATGAGTGTCCCCACAGCTTGAGTTACAGCTCATGGGGAAGTTCTAGCACACACCAGAGCACCTTCCCTGCTGTCATTCAGCACAATGGTAGGCACATTTTTATAAAACTCCAGAAAACACAAACAAATCCATAAGGACAAAAAGCAGATGGGTGACTGGGGCTGGGACCAGAGTGGAGAAAAAACTGCAAAGAAACAAGAGGAATCTTTTAAGGATGATGGAAAATATTCTATATTTTGATTGTGGGGACGGCTTCATATATACATAAAACCCATTAAATTTTATACTTTAAACAGAAGCAATTTGTTATGCATACATTGTATATAACTCAATAAATTTGATTTTTAGAAGGCATATCTTTTTTGAAGACCGTGAATAAGCATACAGACATCTTTTATAGATGTAATTTTTCTAGATCAATGTAATTGTATGAAATGATGTCAACTGTTAACATTCATGTAGCATTTCAACAGACAATATACTTTAGTGATATGCTTTAATATCTAACATTGACTGTTTCTTCTCTTTTCAGACTGTTCACCATATACATGCTATTTACAACATGAATACATAGCACTTGTTATTTCGGCCACCAATTTAATGCATGCTCATTAGAAAGAGCATATTAGATACCAATAAAAGAGATAATAAAATAGTTAAAACTCTACTCAGTTAAGCCATGAATGTGTCTGAGAACCAGGTCTTAGCAGATAAGATGACGAAGCTACCTTCACATGAACACAGCACAGAGTCCCAGAAGTGTGATGTGCTCCTGTGCTTCCTCAAATACATGACAAAGGACATGCCTGTGGCAGTGTGACCAGGCTGTGCTCCACCACTGCTGAGCAAGGCCCCGGCCTTCCGTCCAGGCAGACATGACTACAAGAACAGAGATTCCTCCTTGCTGAGCTCAGACATGATGGGAGAGGCTTTGACACAGAACTGTAGGCAGCCACCACCAACTTGCTGAGGCTGGCATGGGAGGGGAAACTTGTTTACTAAGGCTGCTCCTAAATCGATTCACAATATGAAGCTGACGTGCTCTGCACCAGATACAGGAAGAAGCGAAATATCTAACTGTGCCACTGATTGATCCCAAAACCGGGCAGAGGAATTGAAGCCTAGTCTTAACAATGCCCTTTTCCTTTTCTCAAAAGATGTCTGGTTAAAAGCCTATTGCTTAGGTCTACAAAACTGAACCACAATGGTGGGAGAGAAGCTGAGCACCACTCCTGTATTTCCAGTCGGCCCACAACTACGGTCACAGGCTCTTCTCTGACACCCCGAGTTGAGTTATGGTCCCAGAGCCTCTGAGCTGACACCCTGACCTACTGCTTAGCACATCAGACAGTACAGGGCTGGTACATGCTATGCAATTTCAAAATACTGCAAAATAAAATCGAAATTCATGCAATTTTTTTTTTTGTTTTTTATTTTTTTTTGGAGACAGAGTCTTGCTCTATCGCCCAGGCTGGAGTGCAATGGCGCGATCTCAGCTCATTGCAACCTCCGCCTCCCGGGCTCAAGCAGTTCTCCTGCCTCAGCCTCCCAAGTAGCTCGGATTACAGGAGTCCACCATCACGCCCAGCTAATTTTTGTATTTTTAGTAGAGACAGGGTTTCACCATGTTGGCCAGGCTGGGCTTCAACTCCTGACCTCAGGTAATCCACCCACCTCAGCCTCTCAAATTGCTGGGATTACAGCCATGAGCCACTGCGCCCGGCCAGCAATTTTTAAAATAATAAAAGTCTCCCTCAAATTAGAAATTCAACAAGAATCAACTTCAAAGCTGAAAAATGAATTGTACACATAATATATGCTATTGCCATATGGCAGTTAGTGTTTCCCTAGTAAACAAACACACCCTTGCCAAGGTGAGGCTGGAACAGTGAGCGGCAGGACCTTATCCCTTTTATAAAATGAGATTGCTCTATACCTGCCTGTTCCTTTTCATCTCCCTATTGAACTATAAGCTCCTTAAGGGCAGGAATGGGGTTGTAAGTCATTTTTATATCCCCTTTACATGATATACATGCTCAGTAAACATTTCCTAAATCTGATATTTTTTTTCCCAGAAAAGGAACTATTTCAATAAGGAGATGCCTGATTCATCCACTGTTTTGGATAAGATAAAATGTGACCATTTGAAATTTTAAAAAATATATATTTTGAGTATTCATTTGATATCATTTCTCTTATTTAAACACAAGTGAGTAGTTTTATTTTCAGTAACATATGTGGCCAGCAGCCACACCTCATGATGAATATATTTGAAACTGTGTCTGATGTTACTCCAAATTACCTTTGTCCTTCTGCCGCCCTTCCCGCATAACTGAAAACACCAATCTATTGAAAGAGTTCAAGAAAGAAGGGATGGCTTTCAGCATTACCTGTAATGACAGATAACAGAATGTAAAAGTACATACGTGATTATTTAAGTTTTTCTACTTTAAAGGAGCTCATACTTATTTCTTTCTTAGCCTAGTCTATCGGGACACTCAAACCAGTTGTGTGTGCCCAGGGATAGCCACATCCTTTCGCCTGGACATGCTGCTGTCACTGCTCACCCATCTTGTATTAGACTCTTTGACCCTTGTTTTAACTATCTAGGGTAGAGAACCCACACTGCGTAACTTCAGGAGGTCTATGGGGCAATCCTGGTTTGGAATTTGCTGAGTCTGTACCTTTTACTCTAAGCTGGTGCTAATCCATTCTGGAAATGGGTAGAAACAAACAATAATAGGAACAGTACTAATTAATATATTCAAGTATCATTGGTACAAAAAAAAAAAGATTATGTTGAAGCAAATGCACTTAAAATAGGGACCAAAACCTCTCAATTAATAGTGGTGAAAAGGTCTGCTTGAAAACTTCATCTCGAAAAATGAGATTTCAGCCGGGCGCAGCAGCTCCCACCTATAATCCCAGCACTTTGGGAGGCCGAGGCAGGCGGATCATCTGAGGTCAGGAGTTGGAGACCAGCCTGGCCAACAGGGTGAAACCCTGTTTCTACTAAAAATACAAAAATTAGCCAAGCATGGCGCCGGATGCCTGTAATTCCAGCTACTGGGGAGGCCAAGGCACAAAAACTGCTTGAACCCAGGAGACAGAGGTTACAGTGAGCCAAGATCGCACCACTGCACTCCAGCCTGAGTGACAGAGCGAGACTCCATCTCAAAAAAAAAAGAAAATGAGATTTTGATGACAAAACATGCCTCTTTTATAGTCAATCATCTTTAGGTCTGAATCACAACCACACACTGTCCAGCAGAGCACCACCAGCCACATGTGACTACTTACATTTAAATTAATTAGAATTAAATAAAATTAAATATTCAGTTCCTAGTCATACTGGCCACATTTCAAGTGGTCAAGACAGCTGTGGCCAGTGGTGACCATACTGGACGATGGAGACACAGCACACACCCACCACTGCTGACCACTGCTGGACAGTGCTGCATCACGTGTGAGAGTGAACAGAGAGTAAGTCAAGTGTCGGGATTATTCTCTTTGGCATAATCTGTCCAACAAAATTTTTGATAGCATAATACCACATTCGTCATGTCAAATTACTGACTTTTTGCAGCATATTCAGAAAGAAGTCGTTTTTGCAAAAGTATTCCAGCGTTTCACCCAGTTCCCCAAGGACCCTCTCTTAATCCTTTGCTATCATACTGATGAAAAGCACACAAATCCTTTTGGAACTATCTGGGTTCACACTCTGGCTCCTTATGATCTTGAACAAATCATCTAGCTTTTCTTTGTATGTGTGCACCTCAGTTTCCTCATCTGCAAAATGAGGATGATAGGTTGTCATGAGGATTGAACAAGCTAAGCCATGTAAAGTGCTTGGAACAGCACTAGCTGCTGATCATTCTGCTGGGTATGCTGGCTGTGCTGACTTCTTACCATACCCTTTAGATGCACCTAAGAGGATTCTGGCTGCGTGTTTACATCAGTGTGGGCCTACCATGCACACTGTTGATGCTGTGATCATCCATCAGATTCCCTACACAACCCCAACAGATGAGAGTGAGCTATGATTAATTCACATCATTCTTTACTGTAATACCATGTCATTATCCTTGTCAATTTTCTCCATTCGTTAAATGATCTAATTCCACTAAATGGTCATTTGCTAATGGTTTTGCAGAAGAATCAAGCTGCTTTCTAGTATTACTTTCATCAACTTCATGAAATCCTGCACCTGTAATTTCAGTTTGTAATTTATGTGCATTGCATTTATATTGTACAGTTACATACAAATCTAACATCAGCAGAGAGATTTTAAAACAAAGATGCTGACAAGATAAATAGGGTCAAAGGCAATTGTTAACAGGGGAAGGCTTTAGAGTTAGAACCAATGTCATGAGTGTTTAGCTTACCAGAGAATATTTTTCTTAAAAACTGCATTGCTGGCAGGTCTCTATCCTTAGGACATCAAAACACTTAAAAGTATCTGAATGTGCATGAATATATGACACACAGCCATGCACTACAAAACAATACTCTGGTCAAAGGCATACTGTATAAACAACAGTGGTCCTATAAGATTATAAGATTGTATTTTTAATGGAACTTTTCTCTGTTTAAATGCACAAATACTTACCATTGTGTTACAACTGTCTACAGGATTCATTAGTCACATGTTGTACAGGTTTGTAGGTTTCTAGCCCAGAAGCAACAGGCTATACCCCATAGCCTAGGTGTGCAGTACTCTGTACCATCTGGGTTTGTGAAAGTATTATACGATCTATGGTGTTTGCACAACAAAAATGCCTAACGACACATTTCTCAGAACAAGTCTCTGTCATTAAGCGATGCATTAACCGTCGTATCTATGAGTTCCTACATACATAGTCAGCCACACATACAGTGGTGGCACCATGAAAAGAACACTGGTCAAAGATAACAAGTCTTGAGTCTAAGGTTTAGACTCAGCTAAGTGACACTGGTCAAATTATTTGGCGGCACTGAGCCTCAGTTTACTCATCAATAAAATGGGATTACTGCCTCCTTCACAGGCTTGCTATAGGGGTGGAACACATCAAATGTTCAATAAATGTTAACTGAACTGTAATTTTTTCTGTGGGACATTTATCCCTAGTTTCAGTTTAACTTAAAAAGGAGCATACTATAAAACTGGAACTCAGGATGCTTCATTCCCTATATCCATTTGAATTATAAGCCCAGCAAGGGATCTATGCGAGTGGCTTATTTAAAGACGTGGTGAGCAAAAACAGAGTAATTTTTAATGAGCTTCCTTAAATAGTATAGATTGTGTATGCCTTATCCTAAAGCTTTGGGACCAGAAGTGTTTCAGATTTCAGATTTCGGAATATTTGCATATATACAATGAGATATCTTGGAGATGGGACCCATCTAAATATAATTTAAAAGTTCATTTATGTTTCACTTTATATAGTTTATACACATAGCTGAAGGTAACTTTATGCAATAATTTTAAATAATTTTTTGCATGAAACAAAGTTTTGACTGTGTTTTGACTGCGACCAGTCACATGAGGTCAGGAGTGGGATTTTCCACTGGTAGCATGATGTCAGCACTCTAAAAGTTTCGAGCTTTGGAGCATTTTGGATTAGAAGTGTTCAACCTGTAGTATACAAACACTATTCATAGCACCAGATCCAATGAAGAAAAACTCGCTCACAAACCCAGTATGAAGGTCGAGCATTTTTATGCTTGAGAAACCACCTGGCTCTGAAATTTACTAGAACAGAAAGTTTGCCTAGCAAATCGTTATTTGTATTATTATCCTGCAACAGTAAAGTTTTGCTGCCACTTTTCTACAGACTTCAAGTACCCTGCTCGCAGAGGAAAAGCTGCCTGCCACTCTCACCCTCCTTCTCACCTTAGGGTGACACTGCAGGATTGAGAAGAGCACGTTGTGCAGCCTCGGGAAGACGCTTCCATACTCCAGCGGCTTCAGATGGTCCAAAGGGACAGTGAGAAGGATGCTGAAGGCCAGGCTGACGTGGTGGGGGTTGCCGATGGCCTCCTCCCCCTGCCGCAGCAGTGCAGCCAGGACATCTAAGACAGGCCCGACCACTGTGAGGGACACAGGCTGCTCCTGAGAAGCTTCTCGGTTTAAGAGCTAAAGGGCAAAATAAAATAAAGGAAAAATGAAAGTAATTCCCCAAGGAAATAACACAAACACTGCAGCTCTGAGTGACTGAGGTAGAAATGTCTGTGCTCCAAAATGAATTGATGTGGTCCGTGGGCCGTTAAATACTATTTGCTAAACTTCTTACAGATCAGCTCTAGTGAAAGATATTCAATTCATGATCTAGAATATAAAGAGAACAGACCCAAGAGGAAGGACAGCTCAAAGTCTTACCTAAGTAACCTGGGACAGCTCACCTGTGACCCTCCTTCTCAGATACACAGCAGCCCTGGTGAGGCCTTTTGGGTCCTGTCTCTCACAATGCTCACTGTTCTGCTGGGTATTCTGGCTGTGCGGACCCCTGCTACACCCTCTGGGTGGACGTAAGTGGATTCTAGCCCAGTGTTCTTATCAGTGAGGGCCTACCACACGCATCATCAACACTGTCCCTGCCCGTCAGCATGGGTCACGTGCCTCTCCTGATGCTCACCACACATGCTCGGTGACGATGACCCCTGCCATCCACCAACACGGATGCTCAGGAAAATGACAAAGCAGCCAAATTGGAAACAAGAGAGAATATTAAGTCTGTTTTTTAGACCCTTTTGCCCCAGGAACATGCTAACCCAGGGCAATTGTCTCAGGTAGCAACAGCTAGAATTAGGGCAGAGTATGATGGTAAAATAGATACTGCTCCTTCGCACCTAAGTGTAAGAACACCCAGGTCAGGGTTTTTAGAGGGCAGGAGGCAGTCCCAATCTGAACCAGACTGTTCTAGTGAAACAAACAGCCTAGCAACAACTGGACACAAATTTTAACATTTGAGTAAGACTGTAACAAAATAAACTCCTATCTGCAACATTACTATCCCATCCTGTAAAGCATTTTATTCTCACTGTATCATAGGCCTTAAACACACACACACATACAACTCCTACAAATAAATGAGTGCATTAAACTAACCACAACATTTTGTGGGGACAAAGAAAGCCCCAGAATTCCTTCTTTTATCATCTGATTAAATAGGCATCTACAAGCTGGCTGCAGTGGCATGCACCTATAATCCTGGTGACTTGGGAGGCTAAGGCAGAAGGATCACTTGAGGCCAGGAGTTTGAGGCTGCAGAACACTACATTTGCAACTGCAAATAGCCACTTCACCTTAGCCTGGACCACACAGTGAGACTCCATTTCTAAAAAAATAATAAAACATAAAATTTTAAAAATTAAGCAGGCCTCCACGATAGCCTCCCTTTATCACTACATCCCTCTTCTTACTGCCTGTCTGATGCTTCCCAGTGCTACTAAATGTCCCTTGTTAGCACTTCCCTTCCACTGCTCCAACCGTTGATACCAATGTGCTCAGGCAGGACACACAAGCTCGGCATCCTGCTCACCACCGCCCTTTGGAAGTAGCCCACACACACGTTCTGCATAAAGCTACAGGGCAGCAGACCCCAAAAGGCTGACTTCTGTCTTTACAGGAAGAGGGAGGGGAGGAGCTAGAGGACACATCTCCAGAGGGTACTCACTGTTAAAGCTGTGACTATCTGGGGACACGCACGCCACAACAGACTTGCTTTCTCTCCACTGAGTGGGCAGTTCAGTAGCAGCCTCAGCAGTGTAACAGCTGACACAACAGCCTGGGGCAAGAGAGAAAAAACTTAGCGGCAGAGATAGCGTGTTCTCCCTTAAGAACTCCGCCTGGGGAAGAAGACTGCTCTCTGGGGCTGTGGCGTTGGAGTGGATTGAGAGCCCTGGTGTCAGGGGAGGTGGACAAGGCCTGCTTGGGGTTAAGTCCTGGGAGGGACACCCTTCACATCAGCATGCAGACAGGAAGGAAGTGAAGAAGATGAGCAGAGCTGGGGCAAAGTCAGGGTCTTTCAGCAGCATTTCACTAAATCAAGCACGTAAATCGGCCAGGACAGTGAATTGCAAAAGGGTCACACACTGTGACCTAATTACAGAGAGCCCGTCTTGTCAAGGCTCTGTCCACGCAGAGGACACTGGCTGTTACTTCACTGAGCAACGATGCACGCTTACAGATAGGAGGGGCTGGAGGAAAATGTGAAAACAATCGGATTAGGTGCTGTGGTCACGGGTGCTACATGCTGACATGAGGGCAATATGACCCAATCGGGTCACATGTTTCAAAATATATGGTGGGAGAGGTCTTAAGCACAGAGTGAGCAGAATTTAACTTTTTTTTTTTTTTCGAGACCGAGTCTCGCTCTGTCACCCAGGCTTGGAGTGCAATGGCATGATCTCTGCTCACTGCAACCTCCACCTCCTGGGCTCAAGCGATTCTCCTGCCTCAGCCTCCCAGGTGGCTGGGATTACAGCCACCCACCACCAGGCCCAGCTAATTTTTGTATTTTTAGCAGGGACGGGGTTTCACTATGTTGGCCAGGTGGTTTCGAACTCCTGACCTCATATAATCCACCCACCTTGGCCTCCCAAAGTGCTGGGATTACAGGCATGAGCCACCGCACCCGGCCAGAATTTAACTTTTATACATATCAGTATTGTGAATATGTAATACTTAGTATTTTACATAATAAGACCACACATTTGTAATTTGAAAAACTTCCCCTTTGAAAAATAAGGTTTTAAACCATGAGATGTGGGCAGAGCCCTACCTTTACGGGGTGCCTATATGAACAAACAGACCCAGTGCCAGGCATTTCACATTGTCAGTGAGTTCCTATTTCAGCCTCACACCGTCCCTTTCTCCCCGAATGCTGTGCAGCCCACCCCACAACCCTAGCCAAAGTCCTGGCTTCTGCCTTTCACTCTCTTCCCTTCCCTGCTCCCTCTGACTAGGCACACCCCAAAGCCCCATCTCCACTCCCACTCTCCTGCCCACCTACAGGCTATCTCCCCACCAGGGCCTGCCCCCCTGGCACCACTTCTCCCTGTCCATCTTCTCACTCTTGCACATCCCCTGCTCCTGGCAGCCCAACACGCTGCCTGCACGGTGCACGCCTCCCTTCCCCTCACCTCTGCTCCCCAATCAAGTCCCCTGCATTCTTCAGTGCACAGCTGGAGTTTCACTTCCTCCGGGAAGTCTCCTGACCAACTGGTCCAAACAGAAATTTAGGTTTGTTTCCTCTCCTGCCCAAATCAGTACCCAATACCAGTGTGCTGTATATGACCAGGAGTCAATAAGCCATTCATGAGGCAGAATATGCCTAGACCAGAGACCTTGGCTGGACTCTCTGCCCCACCAACCATTGGCTCTGTGGCCTGTGGCCTTCTTCCTTGCGTAAGAGATGTCTGACCAGTCCAGTGCCCACAGGCATTCAGAGAAACAAATCCCAGCATGTGAGCTCTGTGCAAAGGCACTCAGCAAATGCAACACCATGCAGGCTGTATTAGCGACTTCTGTCAGAACTGAAGGGGGTAGGCTAACCTAGGTGCTTCTCAAATGCTGGCATGAAGGCAGTATGGCCCAATCAGGCCACATGTTTCAAGAAGTATGGTGTGAGAGGTCTTCAGCAAAGAATGAGCAGAATTTAACTTTTTTATGGATCAGTTTTGTGAATGTGTAACACTTAGTATTTAACGTAATAAGACAACACATTTGTTATTTGAAAAACTTCCCGTTTGAAAACTAAGGCCTCCCTATGCCGCAGCCTGGGCTGTCCCACAGGCCAGGGCTCCCTCTCACAGCCTCCCCCTTTGCCTAGAGTCTCTACCAGTTAGAACTTGTTTAGTTTTAAGGGTGACACCACATCTCAAATCAGTTTTCCCATTTGAGCCGACGTGGTTTCTGAGCCTGCCACACAAGGAGGGAGAAGGCACCCACCTGCACATCTGCTTTCCACATGTTACTGACATCCAGTCCCTGGAGAATACACTGCATCACCAGCCTCAAGTCCTCTGTCGTCCCAACCTCTAACATTTGGGTGAACAAGGCTCCCAAATGAGGCTCAATATCCTGAGTGACCTGAACAGGAATTTCAGGATCTGTGTGGGAAAGAAACCAAAATTGTTAAGATGTGACAGGTGAAATAAACTACCAAGTAGCCATAGGATGAAACTGCGCACAGCTGTGGCCGCCATCAAAAATCACCAAGTTAGGGGCATGGTGATATAAGCACTGGTGGAAAAAGCAGGTACACGTAGTTACTGTGATGCCATGCTCTCACACGCACAGCTACGCCTGTGCATTGTGTGTACACACACAAACACAGAAGACGACAGCCATGCTTAGGAGGTAAACCTGAACCACAGAAGACAGTGATTATTGCTTTGTGCGGTTGACCCTTGAACAATGTTTGAACTGCATGGATCCACTTATACATGGGTTTTCTTCTGCCTCTAGCACCCCTGAGACTGCAAGACCAACCCCTCCTCTTCCTCCTCCTCAACCTACTCAGTGTGAGGATGAAGAGGATGAAGACCTTGATGATAACCTACTTCACTTAATGAATGGCAAATACATTTTCCCTTCCTTGTTATTTTCTTAATAACATCTTCTTTTCTCTAGCTTACTTGATTGTAAGAATATAATACATAAATACATACACAAAATACGTGGTAATCGACTGTTTATGTTCAGCAAGGCTTTGGTCAACAGTAGGCTATCAGTAGTTTAGTTTCTAGAGAGTCAAAAGTAATACAAGATTTTTTTAATAGAATTGTATCAGAAGGATATACACGGAATTTTTTACTGTGCTGGGGGTTGGTGCCTTAACCCCTATGTTGTTCAAGGGTCAACTGTATTTTATTTCTCTATTTTCTTTGTGTTTCTTTATAAAATCGGTAGGGCTGCAAGAGTAGGTGGTATTTTAAACAGATGGGAAAGTCAGAAAGACTAAGAGAGCTCCACTTTTCAGGCCTGGATGACTGTCAGGAAGTCACCCAGCTGTTCCCCATCATCCCCAGTGTCCTTGGGCCCACGGTTTCACAATAACGCCCAAAGCCAGGGCACTCAAGGCCCTTTATCGTCTGGCCCCAGGTCATCTTTCCAGCCAGCGCTTCAGCCCCATCTGCCTATTCCACATTGCCAGAATACCTTCCTGCTTTCCTGTCTTTGCTTACTATTTACAGCACTGGGGGAAAGGGGACTTTTGAGAGGTAAAGACCTAGGTCCAAGTCTCCCACAAGCTGTAAAACCCTGGACCCATGATCTCTCTGAACCTCAACTCCCTCATCAGTGAAGTGGGCATAACAGCACCAACTCCTGTGGCTGGCAAACAAAAAAAGGCCACAGAGCTCACAACATAGTGCCCTCACATGAAAGGCTCCCATTTCCACCTGCCCTAGCTACCCTTCAAGGGCCACTCACACGTGGCCTGTATGTGGCCTCTCCACCGAGTCCCATCGCTCTGGTTCGCTTTATGGCGTCTCCCCCACCTTTACCCTGTGATTTGTGCGAATGTCTGTTTACTTAATTACATAGGCCAAAATCAACACCTCACTCATCTCCAGAGCAGGATACAGCCTCAAACATACAAGCATTTTAATTGGTTTTTTTTATGTTTCTGGAGACAGGGTCTCACTCCATCACCCAGGCTGGAGTGCAGTGGCACAATCATGGATCACTGCAGCCTCGACCTCTTGGGCTCAAGGGGTCCTCTCGCCTCAGCCTTCGGAGTAGTTGGGACCACAGGTGCATGCTACCCACACCGGCTTTTTGTAGAGATGGGGTTTTGCTTTTTCACCCAGGTTGGTCTCAAACTCCTGGCCTCAAGTGATCTCTTGGCTCAGCCTCCCTAAGTGCAGGATTACAGATGCCAGCCACCACTCCCAGCCAAGAAGCATTTTTAGAAGTGTTGATTTCTGTAATTGAATTCAGGTCCTCTGTTCTGCTGTCAGAAGGCATTCTTTACAAAAGCCCACCTCTGAGCCATCCTTAAGGACACAGGGAGAACTCCATGGCTGGGGCACCTGCACGGCGCCTCTTCACACTCCCTCTCCCTGCCCAAAGCCTTGGGCCACTCCTCACTTGGCATTTCTTCCAGAGCACTCACAACTCTGGCACTTCCCTGGACAGTATCTAACAGCTCAGGTGGAAGAGGCCTGGACACAGCAACACCCCAGGCCCATGAGCTGAGGGCACAGTGTGGCAGGCTGGCCTTGCCCAACCCTGACCACACTGTGACCGAGGTGCTCTGTCCCTGAGGAAATAAGGTACCAGCAGTCCAGGGACATACACTTAGGACTTAAAGACTGCCTCAACTTGGCCAGGCACGGTGGCTTATGCCTGTAATCCCAGCACTTTCGGAGGCTGAGGCAGGCAGACCACTTAAGGTCAGGAGTTCGAGACCAGCCTGGCCAACACGGTAAAACCCCATCTCTACTAAAAATACAACAATTAGCCGGGCATGGTGGTGCATGCCTGTAATCCAAGCTACTCAGGAGGCCGAGGCATGGGAATCGCTCAAAGCCGGGAGGCGGAGGTTGCAGTGAGCCGAGACCGGGCCACTGTACTCCAGCCTAGGTGACAGAATGAGACTCTGTCTCAAAAAAAAAAAAAAAAAAAAAGAGATTGCCTCAACTCAGTAGGGTTGAAGAGGAAAAGGAGGACACAATATTCTCTTTAGCTAAGGGGCACAGGGCAGAGCTTCAGACCACCAGCTGCCATTTCTTGGGCCAGTCACTTAGAACACTGTAATTAGGCTTAATAAAAGACTCTATTTTAGCCCCCATTAAGAAGGTGAACACCATTCGCTAAAAGAGACCCTAACACAATAAGACAGAACAATGTAATATCAAAGCCTTTCAGTTAATCCACAATCCAGCCAGAGACAGGTTACTGAAAGGGAGACAACAGCAGCGTGATTTGGCCCATGGCACTTCAGTTCTGGCACTGGCACAGGCAGACCAGATGGCTTTACTTTCTGCGAGAACCCATTTAACCCTCACGTACCGAAAGGCACGCCCGTGGCCCCACCCGTCACAGCTTCTCCACCCAGAAACACAGAGGTTAAGGTGTGCTTAACACAGACGTTAATGTGACATTAACGAGGGTCAGATTCGGCTGACTTCCAGACCTCACCTCAAAAGACTGACCTGACCCCAGCCCTTTCGTTACCACCAAAACAAAAAAGAAAAGACCCCCCACAACTGTGATGTGTGCCATCTTGAAACAAGAAATCTCTTCCATTAACTGTTTGTTTGGGAGGAGTAAAAGTGTGTTTTATTTGTATACCCTAATAAAGGTAACAAATCTTAATCATCCTTCACTGTAGAGGAAAACCTCAACAAACTCTAAATGGGCCTCCAAAAACATTATAATCTATCCCCTGCTTATGGCATATTTAATTAAATCATAGAAAAGTATTTTGATTTATTCTTATTAAAATGCAACATTAAAGTGTACAAAATAAGAAAATAGCAACAATCACAACATGTTAATGCAATAATACAATGCATGTTAATACATGCATGTTAATACAATAATTATTTTAATTTTTGGATGGGTTTCTAGCCTTTGTCTGCACGCATGTATATCTTATATAGCTGTAATTGTGGCATATTTAACATTTCATACTGTACTTTTTTTGCTTAATATTTTCTAGATATTTCTAGCCCTTGTCTTCATAATAGTTTTCATAATTATATTTTTAACGGCTGCATAGTAACCCATTAACCTTTCACCAGGGGGGCTGTAAAGGTCGACTCTGTGCAGGAAGACATGAGCTCTCTTGCTTCGAGGCTGTGTACGAGGTCCTAGTTTGCTGCTTGGAAGGCTGCCTTCAGACTAAAACACTTTGATGACATTGAAGGTTAGCCTTGGTCCAGTGAGCACTTGCACCTGGCAGCACCCTAATATGGTGGGGGGACAGGGGTGAACTAAGGAAGGCACAGTCCTGTCCTCAAGGAACTGTAAGAGGCTCTTTGGAAATTAAGTGATTTGGCTGGACATGGTGGCTCACGCCTGTAATCCCAGTACTTTGGGAGGCTGAGGTGGGCGGATAATGAGGTCAGGATATCGAGACCATCCTGGCTAACATGGTGAAACCCTGTCTTTACTAAAAAATACAAAAAAATTAGCCGGGCGTGGTGGCGGGTGCCAGTAGTCCCAGTTACTTGGGAGGCTGAGGCAGGAGAATGGCATGAACCCGGGAAGCGGAGCTTGCAGTGAGCTGAGATTGCACCACTGCACTCCATCCTGGTAGACAGAGTGAGACTCCATCTCAAAAAAAAAAAAAAAAGAAATTAAGTGATTTGTACTTTTTTTAATTTATTTTTTTATGAGACAGGATCTCACTGTGTCACCCAGGCTGGAGTACAATGGCAGGATCAAGACTCACTGCAGCACCGACCTCCCTGGGCTCAGGTGATCCTCCCACTTCAACCTCCTGAGTAGCTGGGACTACAGACGCATGCCACCATGCCTGGCCAATTTTTGTATTTTTTGTAGAGATGGGGTTTTGCCATGTTGCCTGGACTCAAGCAATCTGCCCCCTCAGCCTCCCAAAGTGCTGGGATTACTGGCGTGAGCTGCCACGCCTGGCTCTGATTTGTACTTTTTTAAAGTTGGCAGATTTTCATATCTTTTTAAAGTCAATTTATGGCACTGAAAGTCTGATACATAAGAACCTACTAAGGATGCAGGTATCTATGTATCTCATTGCAGCCAGGACAAGTTAAAGGCTAAAAAGCTGAAGAGGAGCAGATTTCAAAACTATAAACGTACACAGAGCAACCTCCAAAATCAGTGAGCAACTGAGGTGCAGAGCAACATACGGAGGAGGCTGCTGTTTGCACAGAAAGCAAGGAAACCGTTGTAGCAGTAATTGCTTATGTACGCCTAGAATGTAAATAGAGGGCATGAAGTCGTGGGTGCTGGGCCTAGAAGGGAGGTCTTCTCACTGTCCACATGTAGTACTTTTTTTTTTTTTTGAGACAGACTCTCGCTCTGTCGCCCAAGCTAGAGTGCAGTGGCGCGATCTTGGCTCACTGCAAGCTCTGCCTCCTGGGTTCACGCCATTCTCCTGCCTCAGCCTCCCGAGTAGCTGGGACTACAGGCGCCTGCCACCACACCCGGCTAATTATTTGTATTTTTTACTAGAGATGGGGTTTCTCCGTGTTAGCCAGGATGGTCTCGATCTCCTGGCCTTGTGATCCGCCCGCCTCGGCCTCCCAAAGTGCTGGGATTACAGGTGTAAGCCACCGCACCCAGCCGCACATGTGGTACCTTTTGAACACATCACGTGTTCACTTATTCCCAGTTCCAAAAAGGGGAGCAGTGGAAACCAGACCTCTATAACACAGAATTAGCTCAAGAGAAAATATCTTACCTGCAAGAACTCTTCTCACAGAATGAAACATGGAGGTAAACACGGAGTCCTTTTTGGGATGCAGTTCTGGGGCCAAAAAGAACAGAGTCAAAAACTGCAAGGCTGCCTGAAAAGACTGATCATGTCCCGCGAGAGCTGGCAACTCCAACAGTATCTGAGAGTAAACACCCTGGTAGAGGGCAACATGGGAGAGCAGCGTCCTGTCGCTTCCTTGGGAAATGTCGGCCCCTCCATCCCTGCAGTGCTGACCCAGGTCGGCTTCCAAGAGCGTGCTGACGGATGAGATGAGGACCGAGGGAAGGCGCCAGCCCCGGGCCCCCGGCACTGAGCAGAGCTGCAGCACAGCTCCTGTCTGCAGCACAACCTGCTGCAGCAGCTCAGACAGTGCTGCTGGGGCCTCTTGGCCCAGCTTCTGCTCTTTGAGGAAAGGTCCCAGGACATGGCACAACCTGGTTAAAGACACCAGAAGGAGCTGCCTGCCCTGGGGGTTCTGATTTTCTAATTGTTTGCTTGAAGCTGCCTCCGTGTATGGTTTGGAACTAGAGAGGAATGCGGTGATTTTTCTAAAATTGAGCACCAAGCTCAGCTTCATTTGGATGAGCATCTGCATTAGCTCCTCTAAGAACGTCCCTATCACTTGGAGGAATTCCAGCCAAGCGGGATCATCCATCTCAATAAGGAACCTACTACTAGCTCTGAACAATGAGGTCAGTACAACCTCAAAAATATCACTACCATACATGATCTTGAACACAGAGCGAGCACTTTTCCCCTTTTGCAAGTAACCAAGAAGTTGGTAGCAAGTCGTCAAGAACTTGAGAGCCAGTGAGGAGGAGCAAGAGCATCCTAGTTTGGTGACGGCCATGGACAGTAACACAAGAAAATAATGCACATGATAGGGTGGCAAGAGGCTGTCCAGCTGTAAGGCAGAAATCACTTCCAAAAGCCCCAGGATGCTTTCCAACTGCTCTCCCTCCAGCTGGATAGGGAAGTCACTCTTGACCAGGGACAGTAAGTTCTGGGCAATTTCTCCTCTAGGTTCTATACCTTCGGGTCCAGCTTTTGCAAATCTGTTTTCCCAATGACCCACAACCATGTGGTCCTTTTCAAAAAGCCAGGGAAGCTGCTGACTGACAAGACCTGAGTCACGCTGGGCACCAGAACACAGAATGCTGGAGCAACTTGTGGTTACGCACGTTAAGAAAGCAGAATGAAGGGACTGCATCTCTGGAAAGAGAGGGCTATGAAGGAAGGCTTTGGATATTTTTTCCAGTGTGATGTATGCCTCTTCATCTATTGAGACTTCCTGGGCTTTGCCCATGGGTAAAGTTCTCAGCAGGACACTGGCCAGGTATCCCACATCATCTGGACACAGATAGGATATTAAAATTGTGAGATTTGACACAATCAAGTGCCAGTGTGCTACAGGGTATGTGAGTCCACTCACCATCCCAACTTGGCCATCCCAGGAAGCCGTCGTTCTCTGATTCAAGCTTTTTCTGCCGGAACCAATAATAAAGGCAGCATCGCACCTCAAACTTTGGATGGCTCCTTCAGACCGGAAACTAGTTTGCATTAAAGTCCTTTTCATTTTCTGCAGGTACAGCTGTTCTAAGCAATATGTACCAAGAGAGCTGAACTGAGCTGTAAACTTCTCTATCTTCTTCCAATGCTGTGTTTTTACACCTGGGAGCAACGAAGGGAGGTTCGAGATCTCCAGAGCAACACCTATAAGGGGCCCAGACATAGAGTGATACTGGCTACAGTTCAAACTGAACATAGCGTCCACCTGGGCCCAAGTGTAAGAGAGCAGGAGCACAGAGTCACTGACCTTCTGCAGCCACAGCTCTGGCTCTGGGCCTGGGGTGTCCGGGAGAAGGGCCAGCAGGGGCTGCACGAGCTCCCTCATCATCCTCTCCATCATGCACTGTGTCCGTCTGACAATGGGCAGAGGCGTGCTGCTGTCCAGGCTCCTCATGTTGAACATGATGCAGTGCAGCAGCAAGCTCAGTGACAGTGATTTCAGGGCCATGTCGGCATCACTCTGCAAATAGGGCAAGACTAAAGACTGGAACTTCTCCAGCACAAGGGACCACGTGTCCAGGATCTGACTTGGAGGCAGCTCCAGGAGGCATGCAGAGAGTACCGTGGAGGGGCCCGAGGCCAGCACAGGCTGCCTCAGTGCCTCAGCAGCTGGACGACAGATCACCCCCAAAACCTCTTCAAACAACCGTGGCACTTGTCGGAGTTTGGCATAAGTCTGGAAGACAGTACGAATAAGCGCCTCCTGGGCTTTTTTGGTTCGAAACTCTGTTACCTCGGCATCGATCCACGCTGAAGCCAGCAGGTCATCCAGGTCTGGCTCCAAAATCAAATGATTCAGAGATATCAAAGTCTTCAGACAGCGGAACCAGGCCGGTATGGGTGCTTGTGCATGGTTTATCAGCAGCTCAGCCACGTGGCGGTAAAAGCGGAACTGAGCCTCTTCGTGCCGAATTCTGTCGGCAGCGATGTTGTAGATATTGTTGTTGGCCACTGAGTTTAGTAGCTGTTCCACAACCAAAAGCTCTGTGGTCCAATCTGATGTGGACAGGGCTTTGCTCTGCTCCTCCTGCAGGTGTGAAATCTTCAAGCAGCCAAACAACCTGGGGAGAACCTGGAAGCAGAGAAGCTGGTTTCCCTCCTTAAAGTAAGAATCTAGAAAGAGCTTATACAGCAAGGCCACTGAGTTGGCCACAACAGAGGTATGAAGGGATGCTGCACAGTAGCCAGCATCAACCAGCCTGTTAAGCACGGTGTCCATGGGAGCCAGAAGGTTCTTCATGGCTCCCGTCTTCACATCCCCTTGCTGCTGGTCCAAGAGCCCCTCCTTGTAGGATGACAGTAGCTCAGGCTGAAAAATCCCTCCTCGGAACATGGCCTCAATCTGACTCCTGATGTCCCGGCTCAGCACCTGCCTCAGCTGGCCCTGGCCAGCCTGCGTCCATGTGCCCCCAGAGAGTAAGTGCCTCAGGACCAGGCACGGCTGGAGCAGGTGAGCAGTCACATCCCCAAAGGCACGTCTTGGGTTGACCTGCTGCTGCAGGATCAAGAGATAATGGCCAAGGGCCAGGTGAATGACCTCAAACAACTGGGCTACCACAGCTCCTTCGGGCTGCCTGCAGGCCGACCAGCAAAGCTGGCTCAGCAAGGCCACCATCAGCTCCTGTTTGGCCGTGTAGATGACAGCCAGGGCAGGTGTCGACAGGATGCCCTGGCAACATCGAAGGACAGCACAGATGTTTCTTTGGGATCCCGAAAGAGAGAACTCAGCTACTCTCTCATTGATGATCTGAACATTAAGAAAGAAAGAAAATTCATTACTGACCTTAAACCCATACATACACAAGAAAAGTATTAAAAAAAAAAATCAACAAACTCACCCCTTTCCCTCATCTTGGTAAGAAAGAAATGCCCAGATTACCATATTTCAATGAACCTGACATAAGCTTAGTGCATCAAAATAAGGCAAAGCATCTGTTTCAATTCCTCCACCCATCCATCTTCTACCAATGCAAATCTAGAAAAGGATCCGTGCCTTTGTAAATTTGCTGTCCCTTTTTTTAAAGCTGGGTTTTAAAGGGCTTAAATACCAAATGTCACTTTCTCTTAGATCCTAAACCTGCAATTGAGCTTAGATGTTACCAGGCAGAGGGAAAGTTGCACTTAAATTATGATCTTGTGGTCCAAAATACATGTTTATAGGCCAGGCACAGTGCCTCACACCCGTAATCCCAGCACTTTGAGAGGCCGAGGCAGGCGGATCACTTGAGGTCAGGAGTTTGAGAACAGCCTGGCCAACGTGGTGAAACCTGACTCCACTAAAAATGAAAAAATTAACCGGGCATGGTGGCAGGCAGCTGTAATCCCAGCTACTTGGGAGGCTGAGGCAGGAGAACTGCTTGAACCTGGGAGGCAGAGGTTGCAGTGAGCTGGGATCGAGCCACTGCACTCCAGCCTGGGTGACAGAGCGGGACCCTGTCTGAAAAAAGAAAAAAAAATGCATGTTTATAGTCAATTATACTTTTTCTATTTAAAAAAGCCAAAGCAAAAGGCACTCTTTTAAAAAGGAAAGCAGCTGGGCATGGTGGCTCATGCCTGTAATCCCAACACCTTGGGAGGCTGAGTCGGGGCGGATCACTTGAGGCCAGGCGTTCGAGAACAGCCTGGTCAACATGGTGAAACACCATCTCTACTAAAAATATAAAAATTAGCCGAGCATGGTGGTGCACACCTGTAGTCCCAGCTACTCGGGAGGCTGAGGCACAAGAATCGCTTGAACCCAGGAGGCAGAGGTTCCAGTGAGCCAAGATCACACCACTGCACTCCAGCCTGGGTGACAGAGACTCTATCTCAAAAAAATTTTTTAAAAAGGAAAGCAAATGTTATGTTGCTACTGCTTATTATACAGCAAATCTATTGTCTACTGCTCTCAAAATTCCAAAATTCACAAACACCAGAAATTATGAGAATCAGGCAGATTCTATAATTCAGTCACAGGTTAAGTTACTTGCTCCCAGCCTTATGGAATCTGAGAACCAAACCTATCCCAGGTGCTAAGTTATCAGTGCCCTAATGAGATAGGTATTATAATTTCTATTCAAGTAATTGCTGGCTTTTAAAGTTACTCTGGAAACGCTGTAACAAAGATGAGAAATCCTTAAATGTCAATGCACTATTACAGTGATCTCCAAATTTTTGATGATGATACAACTCATCGATTTTTCCTGCATTTATATTCAATAAGTGTAATTTATTTATAAATTATGCACATATGCTGCAGCACTAACATTTTATATAATTATGAAGCATACATAAAAATAAAATTTAAGTATGGCTTTTTAAACAAGGAGACATTCTAAGATTTTCTTCCCATATTCCAAAAGATCCTTTGAAATAAGCCACTTTGGTGACCACTGGTTTATTATTTTAAAAAGTGACCCAGTTTGGAACACAATCTCAAGAACCATTAAGCCCTATGCGCCATTGGGCAGCTCAACCTTCGTTCCCCTCCGTTACTAGCCTCTAACGATTTTCTCTCAGCCCGCACACTCATGAGGGTGAGGCAGTGTTATGGCTTCATAGCCCAGGATTTACACTCAGGCAGAGTGAGGTTCAAATCCCAGCTGTGCCACTAACTAGCCATGTGACTTTAGGAAAGTTAAACTTCTTTGAGCCTGGCACACATGAAGTGCTCACTAGTAGTAGTTTTTATTGTATCTAGCTATTCTCATGGTATTTAAACACACTCAGTTTTGACAATGAAGTTCCTACTTCTGATCTGAGACTTCAAAATCACTTTCAGTCAAAAACTGAGGTGGCCCCGGGTTGCCGGCCAAGCCACTAGTGGCACTTGTGGCTCGAAGGCCGTAGTGGCAAAAAAAAAAAAAAAAAAAACCTTTGAGGAAATTCCTGTCCGGATTTTGGCCTTTGATCTCCCTCTAGCCCAAAAGAAAGGTAAAGAAGAAGAAAAACAAATCAGAGAAGCATAATTTGCTAGCTACCTTTTCCAATTAAAAAGGTAATCAATGACCTGTTTATGAAATCGTTCCAAGCTTTTTTTGAATATTAAATAACAAAATGCTTAGAGCATATGATACACATTCAATAGTTACTATTTTAATTCCAATAATATTACATCCTTTTTCTCCTACCTTAGTATTTCCTATATCTTCATACAATTGACACTAAAACAAGTTTCCAGCATTAACAAGAAATCAATGGAGATGCATGCAACACATACAGAACAGAAAAGTGAATTACCTTGACTAGGGAAATCTGAAGATTAATGGTCTTTCCATTCTTGAGGAGATTCTGCAATTTTCTGCTATGTAAAATGTTATCTATATAGATCCAAAGCCTTTCAACAATATCTTCCTTCAGTTCAAGCTTTTTCTTATAAAATGCAACCAATGATTGTCTTGCCCAATCAAGTAACACCTGAATTTGAAGGACACATACACTGAAAATAAATTTATTTGCTGAGAGAAAGATGTTAGACATTATAGGGACATTACAGGTATAAGCAAATCCAATTGCCACGGGGGCGGCGGGGGAGAACCTCTCTTTTACAACTTACCTTTGATAATATTACTTACGTGTTCTGGTATTTTAAAATGTTTATTATTAAAGGATAAGAACAGGAAAACAACAAATTTGTCTTCAGCTAGGGCAAATTAAAAGTTTCAGGTGAAACTAACACGTCTTAACCCGTTTTTTGAGGTTATACAGGCATACCTCATTTTATTGTGCCTTGTAGATACAGATATTGCATTTACAAATTGGAGGTTTATGGCAACCCTGTGCCAAGCAAGTCTATCAGATCCTTTATTCCAACAGCATGTGCTTGCTTCATGTCTCTGCCACATTTTGGTAATTCTCCCAGTATTTCCAACTTTTCCATTCTTATATTTGTTAAGGTACTCTGTGACCAGTGATCACTGATGTTACTATTCTAATTGTTTTGGGGCACCATGAACCGTGTCCTTGTAAGTCAGCAAGCCTAATCAATAAATGTTCTATGCATCCTGACTGCTCCACCAAAATGCTATTACCCTGACGGGCTATTTTCCCCTCTCTCCTTCTCCTCTGGCTTTCCTATTCCTTGAGACGCAATAATATTGCAATTAGGCCAGCTAACCCTACAATGGCCTCCAGGTGTTCAAGTGGAAGGACTAGCTGCATGTCTCTTTAAATCCAAAGCTAAAAATAATTAAGCTTAGTGAGGAAGGCATGCTGAAAGGTGAGATAGACCAAAACCAAGCCTCTTGAGCCAATTAACCAAATCGTGAATGCAAAGGAAAAGTTCTTGAAGGAAATTAAAAGTGTTACTCCAGTGAACAACAAATGATAGAAAGTGAAACCGCCTATTGCTGATATGGAGAAAGTTTTAGTGGTCTGGATAGAAGATCAAACCAATCACAGCATTCCCTTAAGCCAAAGCTTAATCCAGAGCAAGGCCCTAACTCTCTTCAATTCTATGAAGGCTGAGAGAAGTAAGGAGGCTGCGGAGGAAAAGCTAGAAGCTACCAGAGGTTGGTTCATGAAGTTTAGGGAAAGAAGCCATCTTCATAACATAAAAGTTCCAGGTGAAGTTATGTAGAAGGTCGAGCTAAAATCACTGATGAAGTTGGCTAAACTAAACAACAGATTTTCAGAGTAGAAGAAACAGCCTTCTATTGGAAGATGCCATTCAGGACTTTCTTTTTTTTTTTTTTTTTTTTTTTGAGACGGAGTTTCGCTCTTGTCACCCAGGCTGGAGTGGAATGGCGCGATCTCGGCTCACTGCAACCTCCACCTCCCAGGTTTAAGCGATTCTTCTGCCTCAGCCTCCTGAGTAGCTGGGATTACAGGTGCCCGCCACCATGCCTGGCTAATTTTTTTTTATTTTTAGGGGTTTCGCCATGTTGGCTAGACTGGTCTCGAACGCCTGGCCTCAGGTGATCCACCTGCGTTGGCCTCCCAAAGTGCTGGGATTACAGGCGTGAGCCACTGTGCCCAGCTACCATCTAGGACTTTCATAGCTAGAGAAGAGAAGTCAATGCCTGGCTTCAAAGCTTCAAAGGACAGGCTGACTCTCTTATTAAGGTCTAATGCAGCTGGTAACTTTGACGCCAGTGCTCATTTACCATCCCCAAAATCACAGGGCCCTTAAGAATTATGCTAAATCTACTCTGTTTGTGCTCTGTCAATGGAAAAACAAAGCCTGAATGACAGCATATCCGTTTACAGCATGGTTTACTGAAGATTTTAAGCTCATGTCAAGACTGATCAGAACAAAAAGATTCCTATAAGAAGATTACTGCTCTTGGGTGACCAAGAGCTCCGATGGAGATGTACAAGGAGATGAATGTTGTTTTCATGACTGCTAACACAACATCCATTCTGCAACCCATGATCAAGGAGTACTTTTGACTTTCAAGTCTTATTATTTAAGAAACACATTTCCTAATGCTATAGGTGCCATAGTGATTTCTCTGACGGATGTGGAGAAAGTCAAACTGAAGATCTTCTGGAAAGAATCACCACTCTAGATGCCAGTAAAAATATTCCTGAATCATGGAAAGAGGTCAAAATATCAACATTATCAGGAGTTTGGAAGAAGCTGATTCCAGTCCTCATGGATGACTTTGAAGGGCTCAAGACTGAAGTGGAGGAAGCAACTGCATATATAATGGAAATAGCCAGGGAACTAGAATTAGAAGTGGAGCCTGAAGATGGGACTAATAAAACTTGAATGGATAAGTTGTTTCTTAGAGATAAGCAAAGAAAGTGGTTTCTTGAGATGGAATCTACTCCTGGTGAAGATGCTGTGAACATTGCTGAAATGACAACAAAGGATTGAGAATAGAACTTAAACTTAGTTGATAAAGCAGTGGCAGGTTTTGAGAAGTCCAATTTAGAAAGAAGTTCTACTGTGGGTAAAATGCTGTGTCTTTCATGAAAGGAAAAGCTCCATCAATGCAGCAAACTTCACTGTTGTCTTATTTTAAGAAGTTGCCAGTCACCCTAACCTTCAGCAATCACTACCCAGATCATCAACATTAAGGCAAGACCCTCCAGCATGATGACTCCCTAAAGGCTCAGATAACCAATAACCACTAGCATTTTTGGGCAATTTTTTAAAATTAAGATATGTACTTTTTTTAGGCATAATGCTATTGCATTCTTAACAAACCACAGTATAGTATAAACATAAATTTTATATGCACTAGGAAACCAAAAAATTTCTGTGACTCACAATATTGTGATCTATTTCAGTGACGTGGAACCAAACCTGCAGTATCTCTGAGATATGCATGTACCAAGTTCTAAAAGTTAGAAATACAAAGACTGCTCAGAATGACCACAGAATGTATCAGACACACGAAGCAAAAAAGTAAGTTAAGAGTTGAAAGTCTGGGATTTGTGTCCTGGCTTCCCCCACATTACCTACAGCTTAACCTCTAATACTACTAATATTTATACATCATCTGGGAGACAGACACAGTTGATATGAAATCATACAAGTGCTTTATGAAAAGGAGGACTGTGCCTATCTATACAGGTTCCATTACGTGTCATGTTTCCTCTTCACAAAACATTGAAGAAAGCTCACAATCCCAGAACTGTCAATAACAGTATGAATAGTGACAGATGCCAGAAGGAATAAAATCTCTCAGTATAACAACAGCAGAAACCTTGATCCAATTGGCTGCTAGAGCCTCCCCTTTGTTTCACCCTGGGCAGCACCTGCCAGGTGATGGCCACGCTGCCAAGATGACTCCCAAGTGCAGCCAGGTGTAGAAAGCACTGGATATGACCGCTGCTCTCCACACCACACGTCATCATCGCTTTACATATGTCATCCATCTTGGAAGCATTTTGTGCTGTCTTCCTTGACAACAGCAACTGGATGTGTATTAATCCAATTTCATGAGCTTGTCATCCTGGTGTTTATCATGCCAACTAATTTTTAGCCTAAAAAGCCTGAGAAATTCTAACAAAATGCAATGCCTTTCTTGGTACCTAGCCCATTTCTAAAATGGCTTTATACAAATACTAACATTTCTCTACTTCCCAACCTTCAATTTATCCAATGCGGAAGACTTTTAACAAAGCACCACCAACCAACAGTTTAAGAAACATCACTTTGGATTTATAAGCAAATGCAGCTATCAATGGACTTTCAGAACCTAACTTCTGTAACTTAATTCCCAATGTGTTCATTAATGCATATACTTAGTTTGTAATATAATGTCTCCAAACAAAAGAAATGCTAAATTCGGTGGGTTCATTTATTTTAAAGAGACAAGGTCTTGCTCTATCGCCCAGGCTGGGAGTGAAAGTGGCACAATCATAGCTCATTGCAGCCTCAAACTCCTGGGCTCAAGGGATCCTCCCACCTCAGCCTCCCAAGTAGTAAGGACTACAGGCACATGCCACCATGTCTGACTAATTTATATACATATATAATATGTATATGTATAATATATATACATATATAATATGTATATGTATAATATATATACATATATATTATATATATTATATACATATATACTATACATATACTATATATATTATATATATATTATATATGTATATATACATATATATACATATATAATATATATAATTTTTTTAAGAGATGGGATCTCATTATGTTGTCCAGTCTGGTCTAGAACTCCTGGCCTCAAGCGATCCCCCGCTTTGGCCTCCCAAAATAGAGATGACAGGCATGAGCCACTGTCCCCGACCTAAATGAGGTTTTTTAACAGAAAAAAAAAATGTATTAATGAAGTACCTGACTCATTACTTTTTTCATTGACATTACATTTAACTTCCAACAAAGTTCCCTCCCCAACTTTTTCTCTATTTTTTTATTTTAACCAATTGTCAATATCCAAATTATAAAAGTGATAATTATCTTGACAGACTGTAAAAATATGAGTTTCACATTAAACTTACTTGTTCTTTATTTGGAAGAAAGCACTGGTGAGAAATCCAAGCAAAGTGAGCTAGTTTTAGTTTATCTTCCCAGGAAGTTGTCTTGCTTTTAAGCTTAAGGGAAATGCCAGAATAAACAGCAGCCATGGCTAGGCTTTATCTAAAATTTAAAAACAATGGGAAAAAAAATACTATAACAATGTCAGACTGAGCAGGCACCAGAAAACCAACAGTATTGCAGTACTGTATCTTGTTTACCTAATATGTATTCTTTTAAAAGTTTTTAATGAATCAACAGATTTGTCGGGGTAAATCTACATACAAGATGCTTGACTCCAGAATTTTCTGGGGGAAATTCAGACAAAAGCAAGCAAAAGATGGACTGCACACACAGAAGATGGACTATATGTATTCCAGCTATGATCAAACATCACTTCCACAAAGGTGAGTGTTCAGGAATTCAACAAGGCCAAAATCAGTGATTACATTACTTGTGGAAAGAGTCATTCATACATGGTTTCAAATTGAAAGAGGAAAAGATACATAAGCAATATCCGGAGAAAGTAATATGTCTCCAAGTGAAAAAGAAAACCCCAAAGGAATACAGTTATTTCAGCTGCAACAGTAACCTTCCACTAACACTTTTATTCAGTCGTGTATAAATTTACAACGCACATACACTTCAAAAAAGACTCTACAAGAGATACTTGCACAAGGAAAAGACTAAAAATAGAAAACAAAAAACCATGAAATCTCGGGGGTAGCAAACATACCAAACACCTACAGTTACTATTAAACTGGGTAAACTTGGCTTTGAGTTTCCTAAAAGTTATAGTAAAAAGGAACGTTAAGACGTTTTCATTTTAGAAATTAAGTTATCCTTCACTCTACTGCAGAGAACAAGAACGTCAAGTGCTGTCAGTTTTCCTATTTTGTCAAAATGTCCAAAACGAATTCAACGATGCCTGACTTTCTAAGTTCAATACCATAGAACCGCCATCGCGACAGCTACAAAGTGCATAACAGGTGTTTGCTGAACTGGCTACAAAGACAACCGAGATGCTCTCCCCGGCTCCGCCAGAGTTCGGCTCTCCGGGCCTCCAACCGCCCTTACCGGGCAATGCGAAGTCCAGGGCGGACAGCACAGCCCTGCCAGCACTCCCTGCCCAGCAGAAAGAGACCAAGCAACAAGAACCAGGGGAGAGCAGCTAGGAGCCAGGAGGGAGTTCGCCTTCGCGAATGGAGCGTGCCGAAGCCGCTCCAGCCCAGAGTCTGCTGGCGGCACCGGAACTGGGCAGGGTTGGGGGGCCCCCCATCTGGGCCCGGCCTTAGGTAGGGGGATCTCCTCTGGACCAGCCCCGGGTGGGGGGACTCACCTCGGGACCTGGCTGCCCGCAGGGGCTGACCGCAGGTGGGGGACTCACCTCGGGATCCGGCCCGGTAGGGGGCTCAGCTCGAGACAGCTCCGGGTAGACAGGGGAGGACGGCGGCAGCGGCGGCGGCTGCTGTCCCGGTGCGGCGGAGGCCGCTGTACGGGTCCCGCGTCCCCACCACGTGGGACCGGTACCCGCGCTCCTTCCGCCGGACGCCGGCGGCGCAGCGGGGAGGGGCTGCACGCACGCCAGGCGTCGCCAGCCGAGCGCCGAGGCGCCTCGCCCATTGGCGGAGACGGTTGCGCGTTGGAGGCCCGAGCGGCCCAGCCCGCGGCCCGCTCCGTGTCAGTCAGTCATGGAGCGGCCGCCCAGAGCGGCGGCGGGGGCGGCGGGGCGCGGGGCGCGGGGGCCCAGCTGAGCCGGCCGTCGGAGTGAGACCCTGCGGCAGAGACGACGGAGGCGGAAGCAACCCGATCCCGGAGGCGGCGGCGGCGGGGGGAGCCGGAGCCGCCTGGGATGTTCAGTGAGTGCCGGGAGCACGGGCGGGGAGGGCCGGGAGGGTCGCGAGGCGCGCGCGCGCGCGGGCGGGCGGGGGCCGGGGCGGTGGGGCCTCGGCGGGGCGCGCCTTGGCTCCCGCCGGCGGGCGGTGGGGGTGGGGCGCGGGAGGCGGGGCTGGGGGGCGGCGGGCGGCTCTGCGCGGGCGCGACGGCCGCGCCTCCGCCCTCGGCCTCCCGAGTCCCGGGCTGCGGCCGGCGGCGTGGCCTGCAGTCGGCGGCTACACCTGGACTGGCGTCGCGTTCCTGCGCAGGGGTGGGTCCTGCGGGTTGGATGCCGGGCTCGGGGAGGAGGTGGCGGGCGCCCGCGGGGAAGGTATCCCAGTGCCCGACAGCCAAGCAGGGAGCACGGCTCCACAGCTCCTTTGCATGTAGGGGAAAAGGAAATGTCTTTGCGGCGAAGTCGGGATTCAACTTTGCACATGGTGATCGTGCGTGGGTGGGTGTGGAGTCGATCTCCGCGTGTGACACGGGGGAGCCAGAGTTAGACTAGCTGCTGCAGGAGAGTGCTTACCTGCAAGGGTGTCTCTCGGGGCTCGTTGCCTCATGACAGCAAGGTAAGGTTGGTGCGCCCATGGTGTGGGACGGGTTCACCACCTCCAGCTCGCGAAGCTGCCAGGCTTTTGAAAATGTATTCGATAAGGCGTTGGTCCGAAGTGAGTGGATGGTTAGAAACAGTGGTGTCATTTTAGACTTAGCGGAAGTGGAGTGCAGGAACGCTACATGCAGTTCTCCCATCAGTTGTGAAAGTCGTTGTAATGCGGATCTCGCAGTCTTTGTGGTTCTGGGATCAGAAGGTAAGTGCCAGTCCCATGCAGTGTCTGTCTTAAATTACTGTACCTAAACTGACCTTGCAGATTGGAATCTCGGAATGGTGACTCCTGCTAACAAGCAGTTGGGAGCTGTGCTGAGAGGAACATTAAGTGCGGAGCGTGTCTTATATCAGGCGATTCAAGTGTGCCAACACCTGAGTTGGGGATGTAGGGGAGGACACGGAGGCTGTGCCCCAGTTCCTGGTCACAGCTCTACTTGGAAGGGGGAGTAGGAAAGGGAGTTTTGTGCTTAATAGGTTAAATGCATCTGGCCACATCTTTAAACTTTGGAACAGCATAATGTAGTGGATAGAGCTTGGTGACAGTAGACCTAGGATGGAAACCATGTAGCCATCTGCATAACCTCTCTGAACTGTAGTTTCCTCATCTATAAAATGCGATGATAAGGAATAACTTAAACGTGGATTTTTTTTTATCTTTAAGAGACAGGGTGCCTCTATGTTGCCCAGGCCTGGGCTCAAGCAGTCCTCCCGCCTCAGCCTCCCAAAAAACGACCTTTTTAAAGGTACCCAGAAAAAGAATGATGTGTATGAAAATAGCTAAATGTTAGCTATTATCGTTTCCTTTTTGGCAAAATACCTTCTAGGTTCCCTGTAGTCCTAAGTTTTTGCGTTAAATGGAATATATGCTAATTTTTTAATGAATCGTAAATTCTTCCTGCCTTAAAAATCAGCGCTAAGCTAGAAAATTAAAAGGTGGGCTTGTTTTGAGTATTTTTCTTTGTCATCAACAACAAATTAAATTAGTGTATCTTGGAATAGTTTTGTTGCTCCTGCCTGTAAATGTGAGGCTTATGTGAGCTTCTGTCACTGTGAAACTAGGTAAAGGCCTCACTTAACTACTCAGTAACTGGTTTTTGGTTTTGCAAGCAATATATTAGCACCTGTGAAGGACATCTCTGGGGAAAGAAAGGGGGTTTTGTTTCTGCTAATTTGTTTTGCTGGAAGGGAGCTCTAGGGGTCATCTGTTAAACCAGTATTACTCAGTGGACAGTACTAGAAGTCACGTTTCCAGCCTGTCTTGTATGTGACTGGTGGCTTCTCAGGTAGTAAGTGTTCTGATCATTCTCTCAGCAAGCTTCTAGTAAGCATTCATTGTTGTGCTCCCTCAGGAAGCCCCTGGTCACATGTAGAATCCTTTGAGCAGCAAGATGCTGTAGAAGGTGAGAGCTCAGACCCTTCAGCCAGGTGTCCTGAGTTCCCATCCTGGCACTGTGTAACTTCTTTGCGCCTCAGCTTTCCCATCTGAAGAACGTTACCTACCTCATAGGTTTGTTGTGAGCTTAAAGAAGGCAGTCTATGTAAAGCACTTAATTTTAAATGCTTTAAGTGTCTTAGCGTCGAGTATGCTCAGTGTTAAGTATTCGTAGTGGTAGTGTATGAAACAGACAAGAATAGGGTAAGTTCTGTGACAGATTTGTTCCTGGGTTCGTGTGTGGAAGGGATTGTGATCAAGGAAGCTTTTGGGAGGAAGACATGGCTAAGCTGAGCTGCGAAGTGCGGGTGGGATTTAGCCAAACCAGGTTGTAGTGCCAGTGTGGCAGTGCCTCCAACTACTGGAGGGCCCCTGAGGGGAGAAGGTGGAGTGGGACCCACCAGTAGAGTAAGAAGAACCAAGGATTGGTCCAGTGAGGTAAACAGGCAGATTAGAGCAACCTGGAAATGACACAGTAGACACTCAATTTTTCTATCCTTCACACTAGTGGAGGCAGTAGAAAGTATTTTGTTTTGTTTTGTTTTGTTTTTGGAGACGGAGTTCCACTCTTGTTGCCCAGGCTGGAGTGCAATGGCGTGATCTTGGCTCACTGCAACCTCCGCCTTCCGGGTTCAAGCGATTCTCCTGCCTCAGCCTCCCCAGTACCTGGGACTACAGGCATGCACCACCATGCCTGGCTAATTTTTGTATTAGTGGAGATGGGATTTCACCATGTTGACCAGGCTGGTCTTGAACTCCTGACCTCGGGTGATCCACCCACCTCAGCCTCCCAAAGTGCTGAGATTACAGGCCCGAGCCACCGTGCCCGGCGGCAGTAAATGTTTTTAAGCTTAGCAGAGATAACATCAGATTAGCTCCTTGGAAAGATTGTGCCTATAGTAGTATAGTATTATGTTTAAAGTAGGGCCAGGTGTGGTGGCTCATGCCGATAATCCCAGCACTTTCGGAGGATCACTTGAGCACAGGAGTTTGAGATCAACCTGGGCAGCGTAGTGAGACTCCGTCTCTACAAAAAAAAATTTTTTTTTTAACTAACCAGGTGTGATGGTGGGCATGCCTGTAGCCCCAGCTGCTGAGGAGGCTGACTCAGGAAGATCTTTGAGCTCAGTCAAGGCTGCAGTGAGCTGTGATTGTGCCACTGCACTCCAGCCTCGGTGACAGAGCAAGACCTTATTTCAAAATTAAAAAGAAAGACTTTTATTTTTATTTTATTTTACTTTTATTTTTTATTAAGATAAAGTCTTGGCAGTTCCCTATCTGCCCGTGATTTCAAAAGGAAAATGGTAGTAGAGTTGGGCATTTTATTCCAAATCTCAAAGCTTAGACAGCACTTACAGAAAGCATGAAGAAACCAGGCAGCCTTCCCTCTTAAAAATTATCTTCAAGTATGTATTGTATATGCTTGATCACAAGCAAGGTTTTCCCCCAAAAGTCTCATGTTTGGGGCTCCCCTGTTACAGGGCACTCTTTCTCAGTCTATTTTGAACAACAAGGTGCTGTTTGGGAAGGACATAATGGGCTGGAACAACTGGAGCAACCTCAGCTGGTGCTAGTTTGGGATATTTATTCAATCTTACCAAATAAGTGAAACAAAAAAATAGGAAAGATTCAGTCATTAAGTCATTCTTCCTGATGGGGGTGGGGGGTATCACAAAGTGCAAGTGTTAAATGCAAAACATAATGTATGTATAATATATATACACACACATATCTGTATATCTATATATATCTATCTGTATAGATAGATAGATAGATAGATAGATAGATAGATAGATAGATAGATAGATGATGATGAATGAAAAGAAGTTCTGCTCACCCGAACAGGCATTGATGGCTTGGGTTGAGATTTCCAGCAGGAGTATATGGATTTAAGACGTGCTTTATTGTAACTGATTTAGTAGATGGGAAAGGTAAAGTGCTCTGGAAATGGAATTTGATGATTCATAGTGGCTTAATTCATCACAGACACTGGTGTTTAAGATATTCATGAACAGTTGGAGTGAATTTCTTTAGTGAATTAATATATTGCCTTATATATTTTAGATATGTGTAAATTAATAGAGATTATAGTTAGACATTTGATTTTCATCTGTAACCCTCAGAGTTTCTCTTTTTTTAAATTAAAGTTGACTAAAATGTTTTCTTTTTAATTTTCTTATTGGTATGGTAAGGTAGTCATAGGTTTGGGCTTACCTTTTAGTTGGACATTTTACAGAAAGAAATTAGCTGCTGTTTCTCCACTGAAGCAAATTGTCTTTTTCCTTCCTATTTTTTAATTTACAGAAGATTTGAAGAGTGTTGTATATTGTCAGTGTTTAGAAAACACTATAAAATACTTCCATTTATAATTGTTTAGTAGTCAAAGAAGATATCCTCCCAGTAAGGTGTATCAAGGTGGATGGGTATGTTAATAACTTCACAATGTTTGGCAATAATAAAAGGTAGCTGTGTTTTTAAAACAAAATACTAACTTTTGGAGACTTTGTCATTAGTAAGCAGAAGTGTTATGCAAAACTTTGTGAATTAACTTTTTTAAGCCAAGATGCTGATGCATTAGTTTCACCAGGTAATGTCATTCTGTAGAACTCTGTTGTCCAATACAGTAATCATTGGCCACTTATGACTACTTAAATTAAAATTAGTTAAAACAATTCAGTTCCTTAGTTGCACTAGTCATATTTTCATTGCCCAATTGCCCTGTGTGGCCAGTGACTACTGTTGTGAACAGTGCAGACTTACAACACCTCCGTCGTTTGCCAAAAGTCCTCTTGGACAGTACTGCTCTGGAATGAAAAATTGAAGATCATTCCATCCACTTTGAGACACACACACACACACACACACACACATAAATGTTTTAATGAAGCGTCTTCAAATCCTCATGTACTGCATTTGAATTCAGTTTCAGGAACAGTGATAAGCATGGGAAAACGTCTTATCCCTTATTTTGAGAACAGGACATCCTATTTCTGTCTGCAGTGGTGTTTGCAAATAGAGCATTTGTGAAAGTTTTCTTTATGTAGTCAAGCATAGTAAGTAATGTAAAGAGCCATTCTGTAGATTGTGCCACACTCTTCCATGTTAATAAGATTTTGTATAGAAAAGCAGTTTTTCTGTGCTGTAAAACAGTATTAAAGTAGAAATTCAAAAAGATCACGAGCTTAAAATAAACTCTCAAGAATTCCAAGAAGCTAGATAGCACTCACGTTATTTTTATGATGAGTTTCAAAGATAAGGCCTGTCCTCAGGGAACTCTCCATCTGTTTAGGGGAACTGAGGAAGAGTGATGGCAAGAGGGGACAACCTGCATGAGGGTTGGGGTGATTTAGGCTTGGTTGTAACATCATTAGATTTGTCATGTACTTTGGCTGCTTTTCAAAGGGCCATATGAGGAGGGCCTAAAGGTGGAAGAATATTGGAATAGTCCAGTTGAGAAGTGATTTGTAGAGTCGGGCATAGTGGCATACACCTGTAATCCTAGCTACCTGGGAGGCTGAGCTGGGAGGATCATGAGCCCAGAGGATGGAGACCAGCCTGGGCAATATAGCCAGACCACTTCTCTAAAGAGAGCGAGAAGCAATTTGTGCTGTCAAATAGCAAACAGTCAAGATGGGGTAGCAGAAATGGTTGAGTTGCACTAGCCGCAATTTTTTTTTTTTAAGTTGAGAGAGAATTCCCATTTAGAATAGGAGTTGGTGGCCTCTTTGAAGTAAGGGAGAGAGAGAACAGAATTTTATCATGACTGGCTTTTTGGTTGTTTTGTTTTCTTTTGTTTTGTTTTTGCTTTAATGGTGGATAGTGGCACCATTAAGCCGGCTAAGAAAACCGGGAGAAGGAAGAGGTATTGCAGGTGGAAATGTCTGTTAATTGACTGAGTTGAGGAAGGTGGTCTGACTGTAAGTCTTGCATGGTGGTGTGGTGAAGCCGGGAATGTGAAGAAGCAGTGGCAGACAGTAATGGGAGGGCAGAGCCACAAGAGAGGCTTGCAGTGGGAGGGACCAAGAGAGTTTCAAGTAGGAGGTGAGTTCAGCAGCATCACATCCAGCTGAGAGATCGTGAAGGGTGGTGCTGGAAAGTGACTGGTTAGATCAAAAAGTTAAGGAATCCCAAGTCTCAGTAGCCCACTGAGGTCAGAAGCAGGGTCAGCTGGCTGGGTGAGGAGACTGGTGAAGGTTTAGAATAGCGTAGGTGGAAGGCTGTAGGGTAAGTAGTTGATGAAACAAGACTTCTGGAACATCATGGAGGTCCCAGCTGATGTTGGAGAAAATCTACTTCTCATGACATCTGTTTGCTGGATTTCGTGATTTCCACCTACTTTCTACCACTGCTGCCATCCCCACCAAAACGCCACATTCTTCACTGCGTCCTGAGCCCAGCTACGGCCTTATCCATGTGCCATTTTATTTCTTAGGACACCATGGGAAAAAACACAGCTTCTAGTTCAAGTGTATTTATGTCAGTCTGAGCAAAGATTGAATATGAAAGGCTATCATAATTTTTAAATTATATGAGGTATGACTGAAACTGAAAGTAGTATGGCTCATTTATTTTTCAGTTGTGATTTATATTTTCACAAAGCTTATTGAATACACTTTATCATGATGATTAATGCAAAGCTAGGGCTTTAGGTCCTACTTAGACTGATCTTTTGATGTTACAACCATTTAGTTGCTGTGAGTGAAGAGAACTAATAACTTGAGTTACCTAGTAGACACTTTACAAAAAAATGCAAAAAAATAATTTTTTTCTTCTGTTATAAACATAAATTTGCCATTGGAAAAAAGATACAATTACTCAAAAGCCAACAGTCAGAAGTCTCAGTTGAAGAGCTGATTTGAGGATTGTGTAGTGAGTTTGCCTGAATTTATCTTGAACTCACCCCTACTCAAAACTGCCACCTTATTGGGGCAGGGGGAGGGATGGGGGAGCCAGGTAGTACTCTTTTGGCATTTCGTGGAACTGTGTAGTACTTTAACCTGTGATATGGTGGATGAGGGTGCCTCCCAGCCCTCCTCTACCGACCGTGTACATTAGAGCCTAACGGGGGTGGGGGTGGAGGGATAGGATGCAGCGTGTAACCACTGAAGGGATTGACCAGACTAGAGTTCCACACTGACAGCATCTTAAGAGGATGCCTGGGTTCCATGTATCTCCACCTCCCCATGTTTCTGTAGTTGAATGTTAAGTGTGGCTGTGGTTTTCCCTGCAGAGTTGTTACATTGAAATGATCATGTGGGATTTTATATAGCAACTTGGTTGAAGTATCTGGCAACTGTTGATACATGAGAATAGATATACATTGTGTCAAAATCCTCCAGAAATTTTTGATTTCCAGAAATACCAATCTGGCAACTGTTGATACATGAGAATAGATATACATTGTGTCAAAATCCTCCAGAAATTTTTGATTTCCAGAAATATCAATAATGTGATATGAAGAGCAGAGTATTTGACATCTGTTTTTACCTCTGAAAGTTAAGTATTTTATATAAATTGAAAATGATGAGAAATTCTGAAATGTTAACAAAGAGTATAATTATATTTAAATCCAATTTCAGTTTGAAAGATTTTATAATTATAGGAAAAGCTAGGCAGGTAACGAAACTGCACTGTTCGTCTCATGTATGAGTCTCTCCAGAGACTTAGGTCTAGTTTAAGGAGAGTTTTTTTTCTTCACTTGTCCCTTTTTGGATATTAGTACTCTGGAAATCAGTCTGGGTGGAGGGGACCGATTTATCTCAGGTTCATTAATTATCCATGTCACTTGAAATATATGTACATTGGAATAAAACCCAGCTGAGTTGATTGGGTCGTGTCTCTAGTATTTGAGTTTAGCGTGGTTATGCAAGAGAGTCATTGCCAGAATTCCTGCCCTTAAGATCCATGGCCATACAGTTGATTCACCACCCACCCTCAGGGAAGCGCCCTTATCATAAATGGTAGTTTGGACTCAGAGAAATTGCTATTTGGGGCAGCTAATTTAAGCATATTTGTTAGAATCAGTATTACAGACTAGTTTCTAGCAATCTTAAATATGGTCAGTGTTGACTATCATTCATTCTTACTCCGTTCTGTTTACTCTTTCCTAACTTCACATCTTTTCCCTTCCTCCTCAGACACATAGGTATATTGTCGCACCTTGAGGACACTGTGTCATTGCAGAGCCTGTTCTCCAGATCAGTCATTCACATGTCTTTCACATGCAGAGTTTTTTCCTGTCAGAGGTGATCTAAGAGATCGAGGCCCATCTGCCTGGAATGCTCACGGATGTGCATCAATATTTGCATGCATTCCCAAGTCAGCAAAAGATCGGCAGTGTGGAAGCCGGAAAGATTTCAGTCTCAGCTAGAGTAGGGAATTGGGCTGCTTTGGGAAAGCCCGCAGAGTAGGAGATCTTGAAGTTAGATGAAAAGCAGCTGTAGCAAGTGATAGGAAGAGGCACTGGTTGGATTGACTCGTCTTGACTTTGGGCCACACGGGAAAGGACAGTACTGTCACAGCCTCCGTGTGCATTTAACTTTTTTACTCTAAATATAACACAACCAGAATCTGCAGGGCTGAAATTATTTATATACATATCCACACACTCATGGGATTCTTATGTATAGCCAGGTTGGAGGATCACTGATAGAGCAGTGCTGATCAGTGGCCACAGAGAATGGGAGCAGGGACCCCACTCTCAGAGTATCAGAATCCCTGTATTAGCAATTTAAAAAAACAGCTTAATTAAAAAGTAACCTAAGTCATCAATACAGTGAGAGAATAATACACCATACCCAAGCAAGGTAAATTTCATAGTGAGAAGAGAGTTCAGTATTTGGAAATTTATTATTGTGTTTCATTATGTCACTGATTCACAACCATAGTGTTCCTTCTTTTTAACAATCACACACCTAGTACCCCTTCTTTGTAACAAATATTTTGAACTCTTTGGCAACCTAGAAATAAAATGCACAGATAATGTAATCTTTCTGGGCATATAGTTTAATATATATATAATGTCCTAACATTTTATATTTACATGTATATATACTTGTGAGTATGTCTCTAGCCTTCACAGTTTGCTCTGTTGTATGACTTGTAGGGAATTGAAAAGTAGGTCTTCAGAGTATATTTTTAAAGGGCTCCCACAAATCAGTTTAGAAGGAAATAATTACTTGCAAATGGTATTGGGACAGTGTGTTAGCTACAGTCACTGGGCAAAACATTTGTTTGGTTATTCACCACACATACACTAAAAGAAACTGCAGATGGACGAAAATTAGATACAAATAATTTTTTTATGTTTAAAGAAAAATAAGACCAGGCATGGTAGCTCATGCCTGTAATCCCAACAATTTGGGAGACTAAGGAAGGAGAATTGCTTAAGCCCAGGAGTTTGAGACCACCCTGGACAACATAGCAAAACCCCTTCTCTACTAAAAAAAAAAATATAAATAAATAAATAGACTTCCGGAAAAGGTGGAATTTTACATCTTAAAAAAGAATGGAAGAGCAGGCACGGTGGTTCGCACCTGTAATCCCAGCACTTTGAGAGGCCAAGGCAGGCAAGTCACTTGAGGTCAGGAGTTCGAGACCAGCCTGGCCAACATGGTGAAACCCCATCTCTACTAAAAATTTAATAATTAGCCAAGTGTGGTAGCGTGGGCCTGTAATCCCAGCTACTCGGGAGTCTAAGGCAGGGAATCACTTGAACCCAGGAGGTGGAGGCTGCAGTGAGCTGAGATCATGCCATTGCACTCCAGTCTGGGTGACAGAGCAAGACACTGTCTCAAAAAAAATAAAACAAAATGAAAGAATGGTAGAACTCTCAAAGGAAAATACTAATGCATGTAACTGAAACTGAGAACTTAAAACACATCCAAATAAATGATCAAAAACAGATCTCCCACACAAAACAACTGGGAAACCTTGATTTAGAGAATGTTACTTTGGTTGGGATGATTGTGTGTGTATGCGTACATGAAATGCATTCCAAAATGGACACAATATTTTGGTCCTGGAGGGGAAAGTATGTTTTACATGACAGAAGTGAACCCCAAAATTCATCCAGCTGTCATTGGTCATCTGGACTGCAGTATTTATTTCTGGCAAAGTAGTGTTTGAGGCCATGGCAATACTAGGGGTTCCTGTCATTGTTGATAATAAACTCAATAGTCAAAGGAAACAGTGCCTCTTTTTTTTTTTTCTTTTTCCCTTTTCTTTTTATTTTTGTGAACCTACAAATTAGCTTGAATTATTCAAAAATAATTTACTTCTGTTCAGGTCACTTCCTACCACTTTCCTTTCTTACAGGAATTTATGAGACATATGCTAACACATATACATACCCTCTTAGTGTTGTGCTGCCTTTCTATACCTGTGGTTTAAATAAAGAGCAAAAAAGGTAAATAATATTATACAATTAAAATGAAAACACGGCCAGGCGCGGTGGCTCACGCCTGTAATCCCAGCACTTTGAGAGGCCAAGCCGGGCAGATCACAATGTCAGGAGATTGAGACCATCCTGGCTAACACGGTGAAACCCCGTCTCTACTAAAAATACAAAAAATTAGCTGGGCGTGGTGGTGGGTGCCTGTAGTCCCAGCTACTTGGGAGGCTGAGACAGGAGAATGGCGTGAACCCAGGAGGCAGAGCTTGCAGTGAGCTGAGATCGCACCAATGCACTCCAGCCTGGGCGACAGAGCGAGACTCTGTCTCAAAATAAATAAATAAATAAAATGAAATAAAATAAAATGAAAACACATTTTGCAAATCCCTAACTTAGAGCTGGCAGTCTTTTCCTGGCTATTAAGCAAAAATATCACAATCCCCTTCACCATTGTTAACTTCATGCTTTGTTAACATCTATTTATCCAGTTTCTGTGGTCTTTGATTTGGCACTGCCTCCTGCCTGCTTTTTTGGCTAGTTCACTGCTAATTAACGCCTCTCTCACAGAGTAGGCAGGAGAAATCAAAGGCCCTAAATTTCAGACTGGCCCTGTTTGCTCTTTGTTAGCTTCTCTAATGAAAAGTTTCATGGGGCTGATTGGAATCTTGGTATTAAACAGAGTTTGGGGGTGATCTAAGGACTTTATTATCGATGCTTTTCCTATTTTCTGTAATTGAAGTTGGCTGTATTGTCATTGGAGAAACAGACAAAATGGAAGAGTATACCACGTTGGTATTAGGGAACTTAGATTTGCGTCTTAACTAGGCCACTTAGCCACATGGCTGGTCTTTCTCTCCCATGTGTCCTACCCATCTGCGATGGTGCAGTTAGATAGGTTGCTCTCCCAGGCCCCTGATGTCTCTGTATCCTGTCGTTGCCTCCCTTGAAGGTCATGAAACGAGTGCGTACCGAGCAGATTCAGATGGCAGTGTCCTGCTACCTCAAACGCCGGCAGTACGTGGACTCAGATGGTCCCCTGAAGCAAGGACTGCGGCTGTCACAGACTGCTGAAGAGATGGCGGCCAATCTAACAGGTAATGGTGGGGGCTCGTCTGGTGGGGTGAGCCTGGAGCAGGAGAACTCACGTCAATATCCATGTGGAATTACTTCTCCTCTTCTCAAGACAGTGCCAGAGAGAGCAGACTGACCAAAAACCTCAGTGAGCTACGTTAAGTGAATGATGTTGGCCTCAGAGACCCTGTCTGTCATTTAGAGCGGTGCTCACATTGTCACTTCTGATAACCTCTGTGATTCCCCTGGCTAAAGTCATTTCCTTCCTCAGGACTTCTCAGTTACTTTATCTGTACCTGAAAGTACGTGCAACTTTTTCCTTCTGTAAACAATTAACCTACAAGACCCTTAGGGACAGGGTCTCCCTCTGTCCCCTTCTTGCACAGGTCCCCTCTCCTCCAGCATGGAGCCTCACATGTAGAAGTCAGGTTTGTTGAATAAATTGGTACTTCAGGATCTGTAGTTGGAAATATTATTATTATTATAGACACATTCCTGAAGTTTTTTTAATTTGTTTTTGTTTTTTAATGTTTTGAAATCCGATTCTATTTTAGAAAAACTTGAGTTGACTCCATCTGGATTAATAAGTATAGTCATCCCTCAGTATCCATAAAGGATTGGTTCCAGGACCCCTCCATGAATACCAAAATCCACGGATACTCAAGTTCCTGCCTGATAAGATGTGGTATAATATTTGGCATAGCAGGTTACATCTACAGACATCCTCCTGTATTCTTTAAATTGTCTTTAGATTACTTATAATTCCTAATACAGCCTACATATCACCTCATTCACATGGATTCATCATAGTATTCAGCACCTGGTAAATTCAAAATTTGCTTCTTGGGACTTTGGTGGTTTTTTTCCCCAAATATTTTTGACTTGCAGTTGTTTGAATCCATGAATGTGAAACCCACAGATACAGAGGGCCGACTGTAATTGTTAGCTATTTTGTGAGTTCATGTTTTTATGTAATATGACTTTATGACTTTCTTCTTCTTCTTCTTCTTTCTTCTTTTTTTTTTTTTTTTTTTGAGACAGAGTCTCTCTCCATCACCCAGACTGGAATGCAGTGATGCAGTCACAGCTCACTGCAGCCTCAACTTCCCAGGCTCAAGTGATCCTCCATCTCAGCCTACCAAGTAGCTTGGACCACAGTCATGCACAACCACCTGGCTAATTTTTTTTTTTTTTTGCTTGTTATTCTTGTTAGAGGTGGGGTCTTACCATGTTGTCCAGGCTAGTCATGACCTCCTGGCCTCAAGTGATCCTCCCACCTTGGCCTCCCAAAGTGCTGGGATTACAGGTGTGAGCCACTGTGTAACAGGACTTTCTTTTACTGAACTTATTTACTAGTGATTCTGGGGGAAAAAAATTGCTGGGATACTTTAGGGTGATTATAAACTACTTCAATGGCTGTGTGTGGAGGTGGAGTTAGCAGTGATTTCTGCAGCTCAGCCCTGGTTCCCTTTCTTATATGCTCAGGCTACATTCTTCTCTCTTCTTTGTTCCTGGGCTTTCTGTGATCTTCCAAATATCTTTCACCACGTGCTCCATTTCTTAATGGTTTCATCCTCCATCCTAGTAGCCGCAGTTACCTCAGCTCCCTCTTTTCATATACCTTCAAAGTCAAGGACCCAGGGTTCATTGCCATAGGAAGAGAGTGCTAGGACAGTAACAACCTGAGGATGCTCTCAAAGGAGTGGTTCCTGACTTCCTCTGAAACACTAACAGAAGCCCAGTCAGCAGCCTGCCATCACGTATTTCAGGGTTGGATCCACCCATTATTCCTTGCCTTCAAACTCCTCAGAGATACCCTTGACCAAAACAGGGCCAGATGATGGCCTTGGTATAGAATACTAAGTGCCTTATTGTTTGAATAGGGGAGTCCATTTACAAGGCCTCTGTCCCATTGTAGAGTAATTCCTTCTGAACATGCCATCCTAGCCATTTAAAAAATCTGCTGCCCTGCATCCTTTGGAACCAGAGAGCAGTAATTCTTGCTGTTGTTGATAGAAAGTAGGAATGAACAATATTAAACAGACTTCCAGAACTTTGCTCGTCTAAGTTGTCTTAGTTTCAATAGAATAGCTTATTAGGAGAAAGTGTTATTGCTGGAAAACCACCAGGAAAAGTGAGAAACATGAAATATGATTATCAGAAGATTTTGTCCTAGATTTTTCCATTAATTGAGTAATCTGAAGAATTCTTTTTTCAGCAGACATTTAGTGAACATCTGCTATAGGCCAAGTGCTGAAAAGTTCTAGAGATAGCTACGATTTGACCCTAGCTCTGAGAAGCTAAGTGTTCTAATTGGGAAGTGAGGCAGGTAAGTCAGTGATTGTAGAAGAGCATGAGGTAGTAAGTTCTGTGAGGGGGAGGTTCAGTGGTAGCAGAAAAGATCATCCAAATTAGGCTGGCAAGCCAAGGAAGGATCCCCAAAAGGCCTTGTGATTCCTGACATATAGTTGGGGGTCACTAAATAGTTGAAAGAGTGAGCTGAGTTGCAAAGGAACCATTAGATGTTTACCAGGGAACAAATTGGAGGAGGGTATCCAGGTTTTCAAATGTGAATTTTAGAAAACTCAGTCTGGTGGCAGTATTGATAAGGCAGCCCAGATTAGAATCGAGGAAACTAGTTAAAAGACGCAGTCCAGTGAGAAGTGAGGACAGCCTCAGTTGAGGAAGTGGTAATGGGAGTGGAGAGGAGAGGATATATTTTAGGAATCTGTAGGACTTAGTGACAGAGTAACTAAGCGGGGGGCAAGAAGAAGGAGGAGGAGTCCCTCCCTTGCATGCAGGCTTGCAGCAGGTCCTCTCTTCTGACTGTCTCTTCCTTCTCCTGGAGTAGGTTGGCTTTCCTCTCACCTGTGTTTCCCTTTCTACGTATTTCCTGTTATGGCGCCCTCAGTCCTGCCACATTCATCACCATTTCTCCATCCATATTCCATTGACAAAATGCATTCATGTTTCATTCAGGACGCGGTTAAAGGTGGCTTCCCTTGGTTTTTAGCCACCTTCTTTCCCCGGTGTTCCCCACTCCTCTTGTAAACAGGAGGAGAATGGTTTTTGTTTTTTGTTTTTAGAAAGCATAAACTCACAGATTGGAGATTAAGTGTGTGTTTACATACTGAATATTGAGACTCCAGCCTTGTTTCCCCTGCACCAATTCATATGCCCGGAATACTGCAGCCAGGCACACATGCTCCAGGAAGGCAAGTAAACAATCCTTCCCTGGTGAGTCCAACTTGCCCAAGAAGAAAGACGAAAAGACAGTGATGTTGGGACATTGCTCACCCTGGTCACCCTGGAGGATGAGCCTCACCACCCAGAGTGCCTCACCGTAAGACAGCCAGGGGCCATTGAACCCTAGAAGAAACATATCTCATAAGAAGGGCAGATGGAAAGAAACAGAAGAAAACTTCAAAAATACCTTGTTTTAAATACTTAAGATTCAAAAAGCATAGCGTGTTTAGGGGAAAAGAGAATGTTGAGAATGAAAAAAGTTACCAATTAGATACATGATAGTAAAAAATAAAAACTCATTAGGTATTATAAGTAATGTAGGGGGAAATAGTAGAAGGGCTGAAGGGTGAGGAAGGCTTTCAGAAAGTAGAGCAAAAAGACAAAGAAATGGAGTAATAGGAGAAAAAAATTAAAGGATTGGTTCAGGATATCCGACCTTGAAATTGTAGGAGTCTTGGAAGATAGGGAATTATCAAAATGATTCCAGAAAACTTCACAGAACTAGAAGACATGAATTTCCAGATTGAAAGGGCCCACTAAGTGCCCAGCACAGTGATTGACAATGAACCCACACCAAGGCACCTGTGAAATGTCAGAACATAGGATCAAACATTTCCTGATGAATCTCATGGATTGATGTACCTGTCCTCTCTCATTCACCTTATCCTGTGCTTTATGCCTTTCCTTCCCTGGCCTTCATTTTATTGGGCTTCAGGAGGGAGGGGAGAGAAACAAGTGTCATCAGTCTGTCATGTTTAACCAGGACCCAGCATGCTTTGGAAACCTGCTGAAATGTCAGTTGCTGTGCGTGTGTGCACAACACCCTCCTTCACCCATCCTGCCACGTACTGGGTTAATAATCGTCTCTCTGTTTCCCGCCCTGACTTGTGTATCTTCTCCTCTTTAGTGCAATCAGAATCTGGTTGTGCCAACATAGTGTCTGCAGCCCCTTGCCAGGCAGAACCCCAGCAATATGAAGTACAGTTTGGACGACTGCGGAATTTTCTCACTGGTAAGTACTCAGCTCTAGAACCTTTTCTTTTTAAGAAAACAGAGTAATACAGACCAACTTTGGGCACACTGCTTGTGAGTTAGCCCTGCTCCACAAGGAGCGGTAAAAAGAAAAATTAAAAAATAGAGTAATGCAGATTTCCCTCAGAACCAACTATATTCCACAATTGGTTTGAGGTACTAGGGATTCGAAGGTACTCTTAACACAGTTCTTGCATTCAAACTTATGGTCTATTGGAATTCCTGAAGAGTTCAATCACGAGGTTTAAGTTTACAAGGGCAGAGCTCTGGGTGTTTATTCACTGTTTTATTCATGGCCTTCAGCACAGTGACTTGTGACTTGTATTGAATAAGTAAAAACTGTCAGCTATGCAGAGAAGCATCCTTAAATACAGCACATTTGAAATGTACATGACATCTCTACTAATAATATAGTACATTTCACAATGGTCTTTGCCCCGTATTTCCAAAAGTGCAAGTAAATAGTCCTTATGAATGAACAGGCAAAAATGCTAGAAGTTGTCATTTAGACCAGTTTTTGAGTGGCAGAATGACCACTTGAGATAAGAATAAAAAAGATACTGTAGAACATTAGGAAGAAAAACATTAAGAGCCCCAGAAGATAAATCGGAAAGGGATGTGAACATAAAAATTTACACCAGGATAACTCACTTTAGCAATCAACCGAGTGTATTAATACTTCACTGCAAAAATCATTACAGTTCTGTAGCAATAAAATTATGCCATTGAGTTTATTTTATTATACACCTATGCTTCAGTGATTAAAAAAATACAAAAATGTATGTAATGTCATTAGGGTCATCTGAGTGTCACTCATAATAGAAATAAGTCATGACCATGACAAGAGCCATCTCACTGTCATGAGTCAGAATATACCACTATTAAAATTATACATTTGGTGATTTACTTTTGTGTCTGTTTTCCTCATTAGACTATATGCTCCATGAGGGCGGGGACCATATCAATATATCTTAGGACAATATCTATCCTGGCATGTAGTCAGCACTTAACATAAATACAGGCTGAACGAATGAAGGAGACAGGCTCAAAGAAGCCAGATAATTTGCTTCTTTTTCTTTTTTTTGAGACGGTATTGTTCTGTTGCCCAGGCAGGAGTGCAGTGGCATGATCACGGCTCACTGCAGCCTTGACCTTCTGAGATCAAGTGATCCTCCCATCTCGGCCTCCTGAGTAGCTGGGACCACAAGCATGTGCCACAACACCTGGCTAATTTTTTTAAATTTTTTTGTAGAGACAGGGTCTCACTGTGTTGCCCAGGCTGGTTTCAAACTCCAGGCCTCAAGCAGTCCTCCCATCTTGGCCTCCCAAAGTGCTGAGATTGTAGGCACAAGCCACCACACCCAGCCAAGACATTTGTTTCTAAACCAGCTTCCCCACCACTAGTATGGTGAAAATAAATCTGTCATGGAGAGATTAATATCATATTTTTTTAACTGAGTAAAATAACTTTCTAAAAACTGAGTTAAATTTTTCTGCAAGTTGCTTAAAGCCTCAGAAACCAATGCCAATGATAAAAAATATCTCTAAGTTCTTACCTCTCAATGAAAGAAACCCTTATTATAAATTCGGTTTTTCTTTTTTTATCCTTAGTGGAAATTGATCACTGCACTGAAATATTTAAGATTTATATGATATGCAGAATTAATGGAACTTCCTTTTTTTCAAACATAATAGAGTCATTTTACTAAAGCCTTAATTTTCATGATTTTTCGTTTTTGTAACTATTAAACAGACTATTCTCTACTTATGAATTCTGTCACCCAACAACCATGAAACTGATAAGATAACCCCACTAGAGGGTTTTATTTTGTAACCCTTATTTCCTGTAATATTTTGACCATTTTCTCCAACTGTAGACTATAGTAAATATAGATTCTTTGCTTTAAAATACCATTATGGGGGCCAGGTAAAACTAGGATAATTCTATGCGTGTGTAAGGCCAGGTGTATTATTTTGGTTTATATATTGATTACTGTATACTCGTCGTTTACCATTAAAAATTATTACCACAAGGATTGTTTGGCCAGAACTTTACATTTCAAAAGATTATAGTCTATCAACCATTTCCTTTAAGTTCTTACTTTATTTCTGAACTGAGAAAGTTGTCTGTTATTTTGTCTGTAATTTGATTCTTTAATCCTTTGGTTTAAAGGATCATTATTTTAAAGGGGTTAATATATATTGATCACTTTGGACTGCTGCTCCTGGAATATTTTTCTCTACCCTCAGGTCTCTGAAGAGCAGTTAACCAAATCAAATGAATAGTTATTTCCTGATCACCAAGATAAAGTGTAAGATATACTCATTAATCTATTTTAGAAGCAGTCCTAGCATAAAAACACTATAGGTAAAAGTTTTTACATAAAATTTGAATATCACAGAAGCACTTTCACAGACCAGCATGAGATCAATTGCTGAATCATATAGGAATTGCATTCAGAATGAAAGGAGAAAGTGATTTGGTTGGCGGTAGTCAGAGAAGGCTTTACTGAGCAGGAGGTAGGCTTTAAGTCAGCACTTGAAGGATGGATTGAGTTTCAGTAGACTGGAAGAGGAGGAGGAAGAGGAGTAATTTGGGTAAGAAATAACATGAGCAAAAAGGCAGGCTTGACGACTGTACAGGAACAACTAAGGCTTTGTTGTGAATGGGGGTTTCAGGCTGGAGATCAATGAATATTAGTCTGAAAGCAGTTTGTAAAATTATTTGTAAGAGGAATGGCAGGGAGACTGACTGTGAATTAAAGTGCTTGGCAATCTTGAGAAATGAGGTGAGAAAGGACCAGAATTTGACAGCATTGTGGAACTGGAAGGCAGGAGCTTTATTTCATAGTTAAATTACCAAGGTGGAATCTCCAAGGCTCAGGAGTAAAGGAGGAAGAAGAGGTGACGATGGCTCAGGCTTTAAGACTGGAGTGGAGATGAAGATTTATTGAAAATAAATAAGTCAGAAGGGTTTATGTTTGTTAAATTGTCATGACAGTGGCATCCTACTGCATAGCTTGCAGTGGGAAATTTGAGGCTAGGATTTAGGAGAAAGATAAAGACTTGTAATAAAGAACATGTAGCATCAGCTACATGGAGATGCAAATTAAAGTCTTAAGAAGTGATAAAATCTCAAAGGAAGATACTAGGGAAAGATATAAGAGTATCTATGTCTATATCCACCTGAATGTATTTTTCCTCCACAGGTTGTCTGTAGATGAGAGATTCTGTGAGCTCACCTATTGCCGTAGGTCCTATTCTTCAGGAGGTGTAGTGGGAAGAACACAGCCTTTGGAGTCAAGCAACCTCTGGATTTGAACCAGGGCCAGCTGTGACTCTTAAACATGATCATGGATGCAAAGTACCTGGCTCCTAAGAGGCACACACCCAGTGTTAATTCTTTAAAGTGAAATGAGCATTTGAGGATTGACAGGAGGAAGAGGAACCAAAAAGGGAGTGACGACAGGACCAAGTAGTGTGGGCTTTCAGAATAAAGGACAGAGGAGTGCTAGTCAATAGAGCCAAACCTTGAAGAAAGGTAGAGGAGAATGAGGACCGACAGGATTAGTTTTGTTTAATTTAGTATCCTTTTTACTACTAATTTCCATGAACTCATGAAAAACTCCATTGTTCTCTCATTTACCGCCAGTAGAGTTGGGCACCAGGTAGGCATTCATTACATTTCAGTGGGTAGATAGAAGGAAGAAAAAGTGTACTTTCAGAGGATATGTTTGTTACTTTTGCAGTTAGAAAAAAATATATTTTAAGTGAGTACACTTTCAGTAAAATACAGAGTATGTTAGATTGCAAGGGAATAATTTAAAATGGGAGTTAGAATTCTGAATCTCACCTTCTTCCAAATTGATCAGTTTTTTTGTTTTATACCCAGCATACTGTTCTCTTCAGACAAGAGAGAGCAATTAAGCAATTTTGAACCTATGAGCTGAAGCAACAGTGAATTTCAGTAAGTTTTAAAGTAGTACATCACTATTTCTTGATAGCTAGGTTTTTTTCTAAACTTACTCAATTGAAATGCCTCTCATTTTAGAAAAGGAGCCTGAAATTTTGTTTCTAAGGAATTGAAAACAATCCTTCATCCCAATAAAAAACAAAGGGAAAAGAAAAACCAAAATCTAGTCACAGTTCTCGAAAGAAACAGCCAAGAGCCAACAGGATGGATATGTAGAGGTTTACTTTAAGGAATTGTTCCATGCAATTGTGGAGGCTTGGCACATTCAAAATCAGGGCGGGCCAGCAGGCTGGAGACCCAGGAAAGAGTTAGTGTTGCAGTTCAAATCCAAAGGCTCTCTGCTGGCAGAATTCCTTCTACTAGGGGAAGATAAGTCTTTTTCTATTAAAGCCTAAACTGATTGATTGATTGATTGGATGAGGCCCACACTTTATGGAAGGTAATCTGCTTTACTCAAAGTCTACTGACTTAAATGTGTTAATCTCATCTAAAAAAAAAAATACCTTCACAGAAACATTTAAAATAATGTTTGACTGAATATCTGTGTGCCGTGGGCCCCCCCACAGTTTGACATGTAAAAGTAACCTCACAAGTCCACTCCTTATTAACTTGGCACCTGTATGCATCTCCTTATTCCATACTTAATCTCCAAATAAAGAGAATAACAAGTTCATACTTCCACCTAACCTAATAAAATTATCCTGTGTACAACCAAAAAACACACTAACCTTTTCCCCGGAGGAGAATGCAAAGTCCTTGGATGATGTTTACTCCTCTCCGTGATATTCCATAATTTTGATACGGTGAGGTAAAGTTAACAATACTTAAATACTATGATATGGAGTCAGTAATCTGGCCAGGCACAGTGGCTCACACCCTTAATCCCAGCACTTCAGAAGGCTGAGATGGGTATATCACTTAAAGTCAGGAGCTCAAGACCAACCTGGCCACCATGATGAAACCTCATCTCTACTAAAAAAAAAATACATATATATATATATATACATACAAAAATTAGCTGAGCGTGGTGTCACACGCCTGTAGCTACTCAATAGGCTGAGGCAGGACAATCACTTGAACCCAGGAGGCAGAGGATGCAATGAGCCGAGATCGCGCCACTGTACTCCAGCCTGGGTGACGGAGCGAGACTCCATCTCAAAAAAATAAAGTCAGTAATCCGATGTTCCATGATAAGGGAACGAGAAAGGAAAGAATGCGAAGATATTTTCTTTTTATATATCTATATATAGATATTCACACCAAAACATTCGTAACAAAACAAGAAATACAACAATTACAGTCCTCGTTTCTGTAGCTGGTCACATGGTGGTTGCTGGTATTCATGGTTGCCTCTTTCCACTACCCATTCTGTATTCCCTTTGCACTCATCTCGCAAGCTGATCGTGGTTTACCTGGTGGGGTGACCCAAACCTTCATTCTTCAGGGGTGTGGGCCATTCATAGTCCTGTATGGATTGTTGTCATTTTTATCGACTGTAATCACAGGGCAGGGTACAGAGATGTCCTAAGGGATCTCCTTAAGCCAGACATACTCCTCCTTACCTCCATTGTGTAGCAGTTCCAGTTCCTCTTGGGCAGGATCAATTACCCCAGCCAACACTGTAACTCCCTTCCTTGCCTATTGATTCAGAGGTGTGAGGAGCCCAAAGTGGCTGGGTGGCTGTCTTAACTTCCAGTTCAGTGGAATGATTGTAATTTTTCATCCTCTAAATAATGAGTAGGGATACATTTATTCTAAAATGCATATTATGAATATTATGCAGCAGATTCATTCACCTTGTGATAAAGTGAAATAGGGTGTTAAGCAGAAATAACATGCAGATATCTTTTATCATCAAATTAGGGAGCAAGATTCTCTGATGCAGTATTCCTCAGTCTTAAACCCTGTATTGATGCCTTTTCATGAAAAAAAAAAAAAATGCTACCAGAACATAAGTGCTGACTTAAAACATTTTTATTTTAATTTATTTAAATATGTACAAACATTACACTAGATCTAAAACCTTTATGCTTATTATATTTCTTTATGAAACCCAGACTCATTACAGATAAGGGACAAGCAAAACCCCAAAGGCAGTCAAGTTGAAAATAACACTGAGTGAATGTAACGGATGGATTTTGCCAGAACTACCTTGCTACTGCAAGCAGGCATCTGGACAGCACTGGTGACTGTGACACGGGCTGGTCTCAGCTCCTTGGGGGGCTTCTGCCCTGCAGTGGCCCTGCTGTCTCCCCACTGTGTATGAATCACATCGAAACCTTTGCTCCCTCACAGCATGCCTTAAGCACTTATTTAGGTGTCAATTATACCTCTGTTCTTTTCTCATTCACCCATGAATTCAAGCTGTACACCTTTTAAATAACATTCTCTGTCTTACAGTTTCATGGCGCTAAACTCCCAAGTTAGTAAGTAGTTGAGTCTTAATGACGTAAAATGGTCTTATTTGTAAATTATCACTGCAAAAGAGAATTTAACTTGTTAACCAACAAAATCAGAATGAATATGCTGATGAGACAATTGTTAATGAAGGCTGTCATGTTAACACAGGACACGCCAGCCTGTATAACCAGACATGTTAATGAGCCCACTAAAATAAGTGCTTTGATTTTACTTGAGACAATGGATGCCAAAAGTAATCACAAAACACAAACTAGAGCACTAAAATCACTTGTCAGTACTTACTTGTTAAGCGGACATCCAGATAATTCTGAATATACTGTGTGTTGATTATTTTTTATATTATCATCACATTAAAAAATTGTGAAGAACTCAATCTTCCAAGAATATGTCTAAGTACCCTCAGATATCTGAGGTCCCCAATTTGAAGAAACACTAACATATTGGGAAAAAATACTAAATCTTGAAGACCTGGGTACAAGCCACTGTATTGTTGTGAACTCTGGCAAGTCACTTAACCACTCTGGGCATTAAGTTCCTGCGTTGTGCCCAACTTCAGGCCCTGATTTGCTGGACTTCAGAGTTCATGCTCTTTCTTCAATCAAAAGGCCTTTGAAATTCCAGAATCCTGTGTTGGGCTTATAGTTCAATCAGTACTCTTAAAAAATGGGGTCCTGGCAAGAAAGCATTATATGATGGTGGTGATCCCCAGGAGGGATCACGTTATTCTGTAAGATTATGCTGATTATAAAGCCTTCTTTTTCTTTCATTATAGATTCTGATTCCCAGCATAGCCACGAAGTGATGCCTCTCCTCTATCCTCTCTTTGTCTACCTCCATCTCAACCTGGTCCAAAACAGTCCGAAGAGCACAGTGGAAAGTTTTTACAGCCGCTTCCATGGAATGTTTCTGCAGAATGCTAGCCAGAAGGATGTCATTGAGCAGCTACAGACCACTCAAACCATCCAGGACATCCTATCTAACTTCAAGCTTCGAGCATTCCTAGATAACAAGTACGTGGTCCGTCTCCAAGAAGACAGCTACAACTACCTTATCCGCTACCTCCAAAGTGACAACAATACTGCCCTGTGCAAAGTCCTCACCTTACATATTCATCTTGACGTGCAGCCTGCCAAGAGAACAGACTATCAGCTGTATGCCAGTGGCAGCTCCTCCCGCAGTGAGAACAACGGTTTGGAGCCCCCCGACATGCCCAGCCCTATTCTGCAGAACGAGGCTGCCCTAGAGGTCTTACAGGAGAGCATTAAGCGAGTCAAGGATGGGCCTCCCTCCCTCACTACCATCTGCTTCTATGCCTTCTATAACACAGAGCAGCTGTTGAACACTGCAGAAATCTCCCCCGATAGCAAGCTGCTTGCTGCTGGGTTTGACAACTCCTGTATAAAACTTTGGAGTTTACGATCCAAGAAGTTAAAATCAGAGCCCCACCAAGTAGACGTGTCCCGCATCCATTTGGCTTGTGATATTCTGGAGGAGGAGGTATGAATACCATTTTTTTCTTCCCTGCACCCGCCTTCCTAATTTCCTTAGAATGTCCTTACCAAACACGACATATCTTAGAATGGACTTCCTAGTTTCCCTCATCATATAGCTAAAGCCAGACTAATGACATGTTACCTGTAGCCATTGAATTCCTGCACATGCCTAACCTAAGATGCAAAAACAATTTTTAGCAGCATTAACTTCTTATTAATGAATGGTCAGTATTTATACTATGTGAAATGTGGATAGCAACACTAAGCCTAATGAAAGACCTTTAGCTAATATTGACTTTAGCTGAGATTTGCAGTAAATATACACTTATGTGTGTGCACATTTGCTCAGGTACAAATAATCGGTAGTAGGATAACTGAGTCGAAGGGCCTCCATTGTCAACTGTAATGAATATTATTTTCCCCACAGAAGGTTGTGCCATTTCACAGTCTCAGCAACAGTAGTAAGAATACTGGCATCCCTGCACCCTCACCACACTGGATGGATGGTATTGGCTTTCTGAGGCCAGTGCATATCCTGTGGCTCCATGTACCCCGGGGTGTTCCCAGACCCCACTTGGAGAAGTAACACAGGAAGTAGAGTTGCCAGCTCCCCTCCCCCCGTCAGTCAGTGTTCAATCTTGTTTGGCTTGTAACCGTTTAGGACAGTCATTGAAAAGGGCAGGCGCAGCTTGGGTTTCAGGTCACCAAAAATCACTACCTTAGAAAAAATGTGGGCCAAGGAAGATAGAAATTAAACTTCACAGCATTAACTTTTCTTTAGAGTGGTCCTGAAAAAGCTGTGGGCCAAAGTATTTTTGTCTTATCACCACTGAAATTCAGGTAGCTCTGCCTCACATTACTTTGGATGGAAAATTCTTTACACAATGTTGAATAATTAAGGAGCAAAAAAATCACTCTAATTAAATTACAGTTAATGATAAGGATGTCAAGAATATTGGGTGCCCTAAATTAAACCATTGTTTTCCTGTTCCTGTTTTCTGAGTCCACTTCCAGTTAGGATGGCCTTTGAATTTTTGATTCTTGCAACCGAGACAGTATAATTGAAGGATTTCCTTGTGATGAGTGAAGAGTCTAGATTCCCATGTAGAAGCTTTAATTTCTAGAATTTTATAGTACTCTCCAAAATATTTTTTATTACATTTGTATTTGAATTTTCAAACATCTCTTTTCCTTGGAGACAGTTCCCTTTTTGGGAGTTCTTCTGATAAAACTGAGGAATACTGCCTGCATTTGCTTTCGATTTTCTGTAAATACAAAAAAAAATTACACTGACCTTATTAGCTTTGATGATACAGAGTTTGGAGATTATTCTGTGCATTAAAAATTAATATTAAAGAAGATAGCATTATGACATCTGATAACAGTAGACCAAAATAAAACATTTTAAGACTCTGGCCACTACTGGTAACTAGCTCTGTGGCTTGTCCTATGTTTATTTCCGGGTATCAGAAGTGTATCTGAAGACTCAGAAGTGAGGAACCGCATGCGGAATTCCAGGAACTGAAAGAAATTAAGTATGGCTGGAGTTAGGAGAGGGGCCAAGACAGGAAGTGATGTAGTGACACTGTCTTATATGAGCAATTATGGCGGCCAAACTAGGGTAGTGGCAGTGGCAAAGGAGACATGGATGGACTAGAGAAGAGCTCGGTTATTCAATTACTGTAGGGGATAAGGGAGAGCAAGCATCAAGGGTGACGTTTGTGTTTCAGGCTTAAACAGTTGGATGTCCATCAAGAAGAAAGCAAAAGACGTCATTGGAATGGTGGTTTTGTTTAAGCATTTCTGGCTTTCCATCATGGTTCATACTGAAAGTACTGTAGATGCTAGCTAACCTCTGCCCTTTTTAAGAATAAACCTTTTTTTTAAACTTAAGAACTAAAGCTGAGATTCTCCTATTCTGTTGTTGAGGGGCTTCCTGCATGCCCGCCCATTTTATCACAGCAATTTGAGAAGTTTTCTTTTTGGTTTCTGACAACAAGCATTTGGGGAGAAAGCCAGGCATAAATTAGTTACGATAGTTGGTGTTTAATGTTTCTCCAGTGAAAATTTGGACTTTTCTTTTTCCCTTATAGAATGCATAATTAAAACAGACTATTATTTTGAAATGAAATATTGAATATTAAAAAAAATAAAATAGAGACTCTTAATACAGGAGCCACAAACTCACATACCTAGAGAAACCAAACAGGTAAAAGCAAGTGGTGAAGCCACATGGATTAATGAGATGATAGAAAGTACAAAATCACTATGTAAGTCAGATTAAAAAGCCAGCTTGCACTCTCTGCTTTCATCTTTTTGAAGCAATAACTATTACATAAATCAGTGAATACAGTATTTCTACAGTATTTGAAACGGTGTTCACACCCAGCAATTCCACTTCTAGACATATATCCAAGAGAATGGAAAACATGTGCACACAGGCACTTGTACATGAATATTTATGGAAGCATTATTCACAATAGCCAAAAAGTGGAAACAGTCCAAATGGCCATCAAGATGAATGAATAAATAAAATGTAGTGTGTGCATGCAGTGGAATATTATTTGCCCATAAAAAGAAATGAAGCACTGATGCAGGCTGCAACATGGATGAACTTGAAAGCTTTATGCTACGTGAAAGAAGCCAGTCATAAAAGGTCACCTACTGTTATTCCTTTCATAGGAAATATCCAGATAGGCAAGTCCATAGAGACAGAGAGGAGAGGAGTGGTTGCCAGGGGCTGGGCAAGGAGAATGAGAGTGACCGCTAATGGGTGTGGCATTTCTTTGTGAGGTAATGAAAATGTTCTGTATTAGATAGTGGTGATCATTGCACAACTCTGTGAATGTACTAAAAATCATTGAATTGTACACTTTGAAAGAATTATATAGTATGTAATTATATCTCAGTTTAAAAAAAAAAACAGGATAACAGTAACCAAAATCTTCTATGTAAGCTTAAAATTTTCTCTGTTAATTATGCCAAATAAAACTGAATTCACAGCACTGTCCTGTAGCTTCTGTTGTCTCCCACTTAAAGATCATCTAGGTTAACCTTTGGAAAGGTGTTAAGTGACATAGCAGTCCCTTGCTTTTTACCTTGGTATGAGCAGCCCTCCTCCTGTTTCAGACACTGAGATGAAGAGTGAAACCTTCATTCTCCATCTTTTGTTCTATATGAAATGGAGATAGAAATGATATCTGGCTGGGTGCGGTGGCTCACGCCTGTAATCTCAGCACTTTGGGAGGCCGAGGCAGGTGGATCACAAGGTCAGGAGTTCAAGACCAGCCTGGCCAAGATGGTGAAACCCCATCTCTATGAAAAATACAAAAATTAGCTGGGCGTGGTGGCAGACACCTGTAATCCCAGCAACTCAGGAGGCTGAGGCAGGAGAATCACTTGAACCCAGGCAGCAGGGGTTGCAGTGAGCTGAGACCGCGCCACTGCACTCCAGCCTGGGCGATAGAGTGAGATTCTGTCTCAAAAAAAAAGAAAAAAAAAAAAAAAAGAGATATCCAACCCTTACCCCTGTTGATTGATACCTATGTATTTTTAATATTTGAGCAACATGGCAAAACCACAGAGATACCAAACCAAGGATTTGCTCTTCTTTCTTTTCAGCTGTGTGTATGCAGCTACCCTTATCACTACCAGCACCCGCCTCCTTAACTCAGCAGTAAAACAGCTGTGTGCAATTCATTTATATGTCTGGTGGTTTTGCCCCCAATCTGGTCTTCTTTAGGTTTGAAAAGTAAAGAAGGCAATATTAGCAGCAATACTCAATTCTATAATCTGTGTATCAAATTGTCATTTAGATTAATGCTATCCAATGGGAATATGATGTGAGCCATATAGTAATTTAAATTTTTCTAGTAGCCACATCTAAAAAGGTTAAAAATTTGTTAATTTTAATGATGTATTTCATTCAAACTAATATGAACAAATTATTTCAGCATGTAAGCAATATAAAAAATCATTCATGAAACCTGTTACATACATCTCTTTTGGTCCTAAGTTTTAGAAATCTGATATGTATTTTACATGAACAGCACATGTCAATTCATGCTAGCCAGTATCCAACTTTTCTGTTCTAGTTCAGGCTGCTGTCATCTCCCACGTAGATAGCAGTGATTCACTTGCTTCCAAGTCTAATACACTCACAAGTCCAGCCAAATTTAATGTCTTCCTGTTCCACTGACAGCTAATTAGAGAATAGATGGAGGCTAAATTCCAGACCCCAAGAAAGGACCCCTGGTCTGGGGGAAACGTGAGTGTGAGCTCTGAGGTAGTTGGAGCCTCAGAGTCCAGGAGCAGACGGCCATAACAAATCTGAGGTTTTAGGGACTCCATAGTCCAGAGCAGGGGCAGCAAACTACAGCACAAGGGTGCATGAGATGATACTTGATCTCTTTATGTTTATTTTTCTTGTTAAATTTCTATTTCATGTGTGTTTCATAATGTATATAATAAGATTTATTATTACATGAATATGCTTTACAAATTAAACATTTCTATTTGGGATGCATACCCAATTACTGTGGAGTATTCAGGCTGAATCGTAGGGTATGGTATTATCCTGTCGGCAGGAGAGAGAAGTGAAAACCCATGGCGTTGGGCCCTTGTAAATCAGCTGCTCGACCGTGCTGAGGCCCGTGTGGGACTGGTTGAGCCACACAGAAAATGTGGCTGGGTTATTTTAAGCTGTGGTCCTGGCAGAGGGCTGACAGTGATAGCCAACAGGAACATTCTGGTTTCTCCATTCCTTGGTCTACAGAGTCAGCTGGACACGTTTCCACCAGCCTGGGACAATCATCAAGATCCCTGGGGAGCACCAGCTGGACTCCCAGCCCATGCTCCTAGCCCATGCACCTTCATCTCCAATTGTGATGCCTTCACCACTGAGGAGGTGAAGGCCACTTCCATAGCTTCTTGTTCCAAATGAAGACCACTTACACCTCAGAGGCAGTAACATGTCCTTTAATTCACAGTTAACTTTCACAGGATCTTTGTTTAATTCATCTGGTGTCATTTTTGTTCCCACAGTCTTTATATAAACTTTCTGGTGTAGAGCAGTGAGTCATTCTTGAAATTTTAAAGTGTTGTTGTAACTTCTTTGGAAAGGAAAATTACTAATATTCTTGGTAGCACTCAGTAGACCCTTAAGCTCCCAAATACTTAATGTATTTTTAATGTTGAGTGTTTGGAATAGCCATTGTGAATATTCATGGACATCAGTGTTTATTTTCTCTCAACTTTTTCTTAAATATGTACACATGGGAGGCATTCATTTTATTTTGAATTTAACTATTTTCAAGTAGAAAAAAAAGGTGCCCTTTTCTTATACAAGAACCTAAGGCTGCCACAATGAACCAACAAAGCTGACTGGTTTGGGGATCTTCATCATACTCCTTTCTTCTGGTGTTTAATTAAAACCCATTTTAATTGATGAATTCTGGGACAGAAGAGACAGCTGTAGTTTTGAGGAGTTTATCTATGTGGGAATAAAGGGAAATGAATTTTGAAAACAGATGGTATACTTGTGGGGAGAGGACCAGGAAAGAGGACTCTTTCTGAGTACCATTAGTTGCCGTCTTTTCTGTCGTCACACACAGGAAATTATTTCGAAGAATCACATGAATCGCTTGGCTTTGCTTCAAGCACTTCTGAATCCACACCTTGTTTTGTTACGTTGGGGGAGATGTTTTTTGAGACCCTCCAGAAAGTCACTTTAAAAACTTCATTCTTATTTATTTTGAAACACTAAGCAGTTTGTGGCTGGTCACTAGGCAGGGGGAGCTGTGATTTACTAGTAACTGTACCTTTCTAGCTTAGTGTTAATTCTTAAACATCCAGGTTTTATTTTGGCTAAACTCCTCTGATAGTTCTGGGTTTTGTTTGTGTTTGTTTTTGTTTTGGGTTTTTTTGGGCACAGGGTCTTGCTCTGTCCCCCAGGCTGGAGTGCAGTGGTGCCATCACAGTTCACTGCAACTTCAACTTCCCAGGCTCAAGTGAGCCTCCTACCTTAGCCTCCCAAGTGTCTGGGACCACAGGCATGCGCCACCATGCCCAGCTAATTTTTTAAATTTTTTTGGTAAAGAATCTCCCTATGTTTCCCAGGCTGGTCTCCCAACTCCTTAGCTCCAGTGATCCTCCTGCCTTGGCCTCCCAAACTGTTGGGATTACAGTGCGAGCCACCATGCCTGAACCAATGGTTGTGTGTTAATCTTGAAGTGAGGCTGGGCGCGGTGGCTCATGCCTATAATTCCAGCACTTTGGGAGGCCAAGGCGGGCGGATCACCTGAGGTCGGGAGTTCAAGACCAGCCTGACCGACATGGAGAAACCCCATCTCTACTAAAAATACAAAATTAGCCAGGCGTGGTGGCACATGCCTGTAATCCCAGCTACTTGGGATGCTGAGGCAGGAGAATCGCTTGACCCCAGGAGTCGGAGGTTGTGGTGAGCCGAGATCACACCATTGCACTCCAGCCTGGGCAACAAGAGCGAAACTCCATCTGAAAAAAAAAAATCTTGAAGTGATACCACATCTGCCTTCATGTGTCGCTGTGTCCATCATTAACCCCCATCATGGGAGTAAGGAACATGTCAGGACTTAACGAAATGTTGTTGTCAGTTAAATGGAGTAAAAACAGCAGTATGGCTTATAAAGCAGCTAAAACTGATGGATGAAGGCAATGCCCATAGAATAGAACAATCTAAGAGCCTCACGTAAATTCAAAAGTAAATATTTTCAAATGGCACACATCAGAATTAACCATACAAGCTATCCTCAATCAAAGGGTAAGGTCCACAGTCATTACTCTGTAATGGCCTTGCATTTCTGTATCTTTTAATCTGATATAGTCTGAGCTGCAAGGTGAATTTAAGGGGAGCAATTTGTAAGTCGTAAGAGACTTTTATTCAGTTATGAGTTATCTTCCTGGGGTAGCGTTCAAGGGCAAGGCCACTGTCATTTGCTGGATAGATGCTATTTCCCAAGCAGTCTCAGTTCTCTACTTTTTTTTCTCCTGGACTTGTTTTCCTTGTCAGACCACTGAACATTTTTTGTGTGTGTTTCTTTTCCCACCCCACCCCACTGTTCCCAGGATGATGAGGATGATAATGCAGGCACGGAGATGAAGATACTGCGGGGCCACTGCGGACCAGTGTACAGCACGAGGTTCCTCGCGGACAGCTCAGGGTTGCTCTCTTGTTCTGAAGACATGTCCATCAGATACTGGGATCTGGGGAGTTTCACCAACACTGTGTTGTACCAAGGACATGCCTATCCTGTGTGGGATCTGGACATCAGTCCATATAGCCTGTACTTCGCCAGCGGGTCCCACGACCGCACCGCCAGGCTGTGGTCATTTGATCGGACGTACCCGCTGAGGATATATGCAGGACACCTGGCAGATGTGGACTGTGTCAAATTCCACCCTAATTCAAACTACTTGGCCACGGGCTCAACCGACAAGACCGTCCGGCTGTGGAGCGCTCAGCAGGGGAACTCGGTGAGGCTTTTCACAGGCCACCGTGGCCCCGTGCTTTCTCTCGCCTTTTCTCCCAACGGTAAGTACTTGGCGTCTGCTGGCGAGGACCAGCGGTTGAAGCTGTGGGACTTGGCCTCTGGGACCCTTTATAAAGAGTTGAGAGGCCACACAGACAATATCACCAGCCTCACCTTCAGTCCAGACAGCGGCTTGATTGCCTCTGCCTCCATGGACAACTCGGTGCGCGTCTGGGACATCAGGAACACTTACTGCAGTGCACCTGCCGACGGCTCCTCCAGCGAGCTCGTGGGCGTGTACACCGGGCAGATGAGCAACGTCCTGAGCGTGCAGTTCATGGCCTGTAACCTTCTTCTGGTGACTGGAATTACACAAGAAAATCAGGAACATTAATTTTTTAACTTTGTTGGAACGGACTGGGGTAACAGTGGAAAGCCTCCAGTTGCAATCCTTCAATGAGCTGAGATTGAATCATTGACTGTGAAAGAGCCCCCTCCTCCCCTCTCTCCTGGGCCCTCATTCCGGGCAGGTCCCCCTTCACTCAGCCCCCCAGTGTCGAAGGCCAAGGTTGGGGAGGGGAACAGGAGAGAGGCAATGATGAGTGATCAAGAATTAGAGTGCCCTGGAGGTCACTCACAAGTCCTCATGGAGACTCTGCCGTGACCTCGCGCATGCGAGCACCTTCCTGTCTCTCATTTTCACCATCTGACTGGGGCTAGGTTTGGTTAGAGGGCGGCTGTAGAGCACCCTCAGGAGAAGTGGCGCCGCAGGGGTCACGCATGGTCCAGCCCTCAGGTGGGAGGGAAGTCCTTGTTGGCAGAGGGATGTGGGGCGGGAATGAGGAAAGGGGAGGGCATGATCCTGGCAAATAGTCTTTCCTTTTCCGTAATTACAGAGAACCAGGATTTTTTTTAATTATTGTTATTATAATTATAATTATTATTATTATTGACATGAGGAAACCTAGCACTGGCAGAGGGCACCTTCTCTGCTTTTAATCTTTCAGGTTTGACTCCTGGCACTGGTTTTGATACTTGGAATTTTGAGGTTCAGGGAATTCAGAGAATTTGGTAGCACAGTGTATTGGGAGAAAGGGAAATTTCGGGTGACAGATTGATCACCCTGGCTGACATGTTTCTGGAAGTGGGTGGGTGGGTTTGATTGAGAACACTTTGGGCTCCTGCAGTGATGGTGGGAAAGAAAAATTCTTTCCAAAGCTGCACTTCTCTTAATAATTCTCTCCCCTCAAAAGAAAGATTATGATAAAGAATAATTTGGAGTAATAAGTAACAAGATAGAATTAGAAAAATGTTGAATTTCTGAATGACCATTCAGAGGTGTGGCTTTTTCCACGTCTTTTTCTCCTGCAATGAACTGCTCCCACGTCCTGCACTGCAATACCAGTCTAATGAACACTTTGTGAAACAAATCGTAAGTATGTACGCACGCATATCAAACTATGCTCTGAGGATAAAGCAAGTTCTAATTTGTGGAAAAAGGATTAAATATTTCTGTTTTCTGAAAAGAGTTATTTTGTATTTTGTTTTCTATTAAAATGTATTTAGTTTCAAAAAAAAAAGTGTTGGCATCTCATTTCATCTCTGAGGACAGGCGGGTGAGTGTTCTGTCCTGGGATGGTGTGTCTCTCTCACCTCTCATCAGGGCAATAACCCGTCGGTTACCTAGGCCACACTGTCCCCAACGAAGGTGCATTTTTATCTGTTCTTGGGTTCTGTTTAGCTTACTTTGAATCATGATTCCCTTAGTATTCACTTGGATTATTGATGGCATTTAATGCTGTTTGTACATCCAAGATTGATAGTTGCTGACTGGAGACCACATATATTTCACCATCTAGAGTCATTTGATGAGATCCTACTTTGCACTTCCTTCAAAGACCCCACTATAAAATCTCCAAGGGGCATAAGAACTGGACTGTTCAATAAACTCAAACTATGTATTGAACAATTCCAGATAAAGGACTCGTTCAAAGTAAAGTGAACTTCAAAACATAATTTTCTCAGCCGGGTGTAGTGGCTCACTCTTGTAATCCCAGCACTTTGGGAGGCCAAGGCAGGCAGATTACCCAAGGTCAGGAGTTTAAGACCAGCCTGGCCAACATGGCAAAACCTCATCTCTACTAAAAATATAAAAATTAGCCGGGCGTGGTGGCGGGCACCTGTAATCCCAGCTACTCAGAAGTCTGAGGCAAGAAGAATCGCTTGAACCTGGGAGGCGGAGGTTGCAGTGAGCTGAGATCGAATCACTGCACTCCAGCCTAGGAGACAGAGCGAGACTGTCTCAAAAAAAAGAAAAAAATAATAATTTTCTGACAAGGACACCAAGAATCATTAGGAAATTAAGTAGGAAGACTAGAATTCTATGCCAGTTTTTTTTTTTTTTACTTGAACCTACAATGCTGATTAATCAGAAATGTTTCTTATTTATAAAATCCATATATTTGAGACACTGGAAGAAGGGTCCTTTGGTAGTAGCCTGATGGCATCACCTTCCGTGTGTTCTGCACGTAAAGCCTAGAGTTCAAATGTGTTCTGATCTGTAATAAGCAAACTCTTAGGTGAGATGCTGTGGTATATTACCAGAAACAACAAAATCTCTAAGTTGGACAGAATTATTCTCTGAAGTGAAAGTACATCTCTGACAGGATGATTTGGAAAGGTTTTGTGTGTGTTTGTGGGTTAGCGCAGAGAGATTGCACTCTTTTCTCCAAAGGGTAGGCATGCAGGACTTGCACCATTTTGTAGACGACATACTTAATGCGCAGCAACGCTCTGTTACTCGTCCATATCTGACATGGAATAGTCACAGGTCTTGAATATGCTCCATAGATTCAGTATCCTTAGGTTCTAGCAGGAGGGTGTAGCCATGGAGATAGAAAAATATTTTTTAAAAACCTCCAAAAAAGAAATAAGGATATTTAATAAGCATGTAGGTAATAGTTACCATGGGCTAGAAACTGCTCCAAGTGGTTTATGAAAATTAACTTATTTTATCTCAAAAACCCTCTGAGGGGAGTGTATTTTTAACCCCATTTCACAGATGAGGATTCCGAGGCACTGAAGGATTAAGTCACTTGCCAAGGGTCACAGCTGGTTGTCGAGGAAGCCAGATTTTAACCTGGGCATTCTGGCTGCAGAGCTCCTGCTTTTATCCCTACTCTGTTGTCTGCCTTCATTCCTGCAGTACCAGGTAAAGACGGAACTGTGGTTAGGAGTAACTAAATGTTCCCAGCCAAAGTTACGAGACTCTTGCTTCTCTCTGCCCAATAAACTAGCAGCAACAAACAGGATCAGGACCTGGCAGTAAGAATAGACCTAAACAATATATGGCAAAAAGAAACTTCAGGCCATGTGTGGTGGCTCACGCCTGTAATCCCAGCACTTTGGAGGCCGAGGCGGGCGGATCACCTGAGGTCAGGAGTTCGAGACCAGCCTGGCCAACATGGTGAAACCCTGTGTCTACTAATATTAAAAAATTAGCTGGACCCACTTGGTGACGCATGCCTGTAATCCCAGCTACTTGGGAGGCTGAGGCAGGAGAATCACTGGAACCTGGGAGGCGGAGGTTGCAGTGAGCCGAGATCGTGCCACTGCACTCCAGCATGGGCAACAGCGAGATTCCGTCTCAAAAAAAAAAAAAAAGAAAGAAACTTCAGAATATTCTGTTACTCTGAACCACAATGATAAATCTCTAAAATGTGTATAAGGTGCGGAAGTGTTTAACCAGCTGAGGCCACGCATGGTGGCTCACACCTATAATCCCAGCACTTCGGGAAGCCAAGGCAGGATTACTTGAGCCCAGGAGTTCAAGACCAGCCTGGGCAACATAGTGAGACCCTATCTCTACAAAAATTTTTTAAAAAATAGCAGGGCGTGGTGGCTCACTACTGTGCCCCCAGCTACTTGGGAGGCTGAGCTGGGAGGATCACTTAAGCCTGGGAGGTTGAGCCAGCCGTGAGCCATGATGACACCACTGCACTCCAGCTTGAGAGACAGCACAAGACCATGTCTTAAAAAAAAGTTTTTTAATAAAATGTAAAAATAACCAGCTGAAATTTCTTAGAATGACAGACTCAGAAAATCAGACTGTAATGTTAATTTAGCAAGAGACTGGCCAAATGGAAGAAAATTAAAGCAATGAATAAAGATGAAATAGGGAACAATTTAAAGTTTTTGTATTCAAGATTCAGCTTCTAAGGATATGATTACCACCTTTCTGTTTGTTTTATTTACATGTTTAAAATGTCTTGGTGGCATAAGAAAATGTATTGAGCATGGCAGACTTCTGATTTTGCTGTTGCCCAGATGGGTGTTTAAGTGTACGGATTAAAAGATTAGTCTGTGCTTCAACTTGGCTCTCAGTCGCATATTTTAGAAAGGTGTTCATTATATACCCAGCCCAGACCAAAAATTCTTTTTTTTTTTTTTTTGAGACGGAGTCTTGCTGTGTCACCCAGGCTGGAGTCTAGTGGCGTGATCTCAGCTCATGCAACCTCCACCTCCCTGGTTCAAGCCATTCCCCTGCATCAGCCTCCCGAGTAGCTGGGATTACAGGTGCACACCACCATGCCTGGCTAATTTTTTGTATTTTTAATAGAGATGGGATTTCACCATGTTGGCCAGACCAGTCTTGAACTCTTAACCTCAGGCAATCCACCTGCCTCAGCCTCCCAAAGTGCTGGGATTACAGGAATGAGCCACCACACCTGGCCAAAAATTCATATTGACACCTCACATAGCAGCAAAGTTAGTCTGAAACTGCATTGGGCTAAACAGAAAGTCTCTATTATAGAATTTAAGGAACACACTTTTTTTTTTGGAGACGAAGTCTCACTCTGTCACCCAGGCTGGAGTGCAGTGGTATGATCTTGGCTTACTGCAATCTCTGCCTCCCGCGTTCAAGCAATTCTCCTGCCTCAGCCTCCCAAGTAGCTGGGATTACAGGCATGTACAATTATTACACCTAGCTAATTTTTGTATTTTTAGTAGAGACGAGGTTTCACCATGTTGGCCAGGCTGGTCTCAAACTCCTGACCTCAGGTGATCCACTTGCCTCGGCCCCCCAAAGTGCTGGGATTACAGGCATGAGCCACCATGCCCGGCCAGGAACACAAATGTTTCTTGTCAATTTGACTAATTGAAGGACAACTTATTAACTTACCTATGATCGACTGAAATCTCTAAAATAAATTTTTATTTATTTCATCTTTTTTTGAGACAGAATCTCACTCTGCCTGCCCAGACGAGTACCGTGGTGTGAACACGGCTCATTGCAACCTCCGCCTCCTAGACTCAAGTGATCCTCCCACCTCAGTCTCCCAGGTAGCTGGGACCACAGACTTGCACACCATGCTAGGCTAATTTTGTAAATTTTTGTAGAAGTGAGTCTCTCACTGTATTGCCCAGGCTGGTCTCAAACTCTTGGGCTCAAGCAATCCTCCCACCTCAGTCTCCCAAAGTGCTAGGATTATAGGCATGAGCCACCGCACCTAGCCTAAAAGAAATTTGTATATAAAAATGTGAGTTTCTACTATGAGTGAACATTGTATCTGTGGGTAGAAATACAGTGGAAAGCAAAACTGATACAGTCCCTGGCTTGAGTTTATAGTTTAGAGAAGGAGACAGGTTTTTGTTTTTGCTTTTGTTTGTTTGTTTGTTTATTTTGAGATGAAGTTTTGCTCTTGTAACCCAGGCTGGAGTGCAATGGTGTGACCTTGGCTCACTGCAACTTCCGCCTCCCAGGTTCAAGCTATTCTCCTGCCTCAGCCTCCCGAGTAGCTGGGATTACAGGTGTGCACCACCATGCCCGGCTAATTTTTGTGTTTTTAGTAGAGGTGGGGTTTCACCATTTTGGTCAGGCTGGTCTTGAACTCCTGACCGCCAGCGATCCACCTGCCTCGGCCTCCCAAAGTGCTGGGATCATAGGCGTCAGCCACCGAGCCTGGCCGAGAGACAGATATTAATCAAAAACACCATAAAGATATAATTTCAAGCTGTAGTAAGTACAATCCAATGTGTTATGGAAATATATACCAGGGGATCTAATTTAGATTAAGCATTCAAAGAAGGCTTCTCTGAGGAAGTAGTAATTAAGCTTATACCTGGAGAATAAGTGGGAGTTAGCCAGGCAGAGTTGAATGGTGTGCAGACCCCAAAATGAGAAACAGACTGGTGCACTCGAAGCTCAGTGGGACAGCTGGCAGGGCCTTGGGCACCAGCGGGAATTTGGTTTTATCTTCAATGGGATGGAAGCCATTGAAGGATGTAGAAGAGGACAGTGATGTGATCCAGCCTCGAACTGGGTATCACCAGTGACGGGAAGACAGAGACAGCATATTTACCACCGCAATTCCACTTTAACATCAGGATAACTCAACATTTACTGAGCCTGATCTGTGCCAAACATGTCAGGGCACAGCTGATGATGGACACCAGCAGCCCGTGGGGCAATTCACTCAATGAGGGCTCCAACCATAGGGACATGAATCCTGTCACCAACCACTTGAATGAGTTTGGATGCAGATCCTGCCCGAGTTCAGCTTTCAGATGAGACCAAAGCCCTGGCTGACACCTTGATTGCAGACTTGTGGCAGGCCTTGAGGCAGAGGCTCCCAGCTCAGGTATGCCCAGATTCCTGACCACAGAAGACATGAGGTGGCTGGGTGACTCACACCTGTAATCCCAGCATTTTGGGAGGTTGAGGCAGGCAGATCCCTTGAGCCCATGAGTTTGAGATCAGCCTGGACAACATGGCGAAACCCTGTTTCTATTTAAAAACACACAAACACACACAAATTAGCTGGGTGTAGTGGCATGCACCTGTAGTCCCAGCTACTTGGGAGGCTGGGGTAGGAGGATCACCTGAGCCTGGGAGGTTGAGGCTACAGTGAGCCAAGATTGCACCACTGCACTTCAGCCTGGGTAACAGAGTGAGACTCTGTCAAAAAGAAAAAAAGGAAGGGAGGGAGTGAGGAAGGAAGGGAGGCAGGGAGGAAGGAAGGAAGGAAGGAAAGGAAGGAAGGAAAGGAAGGAAGGAAGGAAAGGAAGGAAGGCAGGCAGGCAGAAGTGATGAGATGCAGCAATAGATAACTATCCCATCTGTCTGGCTGCACAGCCCATTCTTTTTACTGCTACGCTATAGAAAATAAAATAATTACTAATTTTTAAAAATCGCTGGCAACTGTAAGGAACGTAGATTGGAGGACATAAGAGTGAGAGCAAGGAGACTGGTTACAATCATCATAAAAGGGAGGGACAAGGGTGATGTGGACCACAGTGGAAGTGGAGAGCATGGACAAGTCCAGTGAGCACGTTAGAGGTAGGATTAGCTGGACCTTGTATCAGGGTTGAATGGGGGAAGGGAGGAGAAAAAAGAATTATGGATGACCCGCCTCTTTCTGCTATAAGCAACTTGGACTGGGTTGCCATTTATTGTGGTGCAAAACTACAGAAAGAGGAGGTTCAGGGGAAAGGATGAAGAGGAGGTTCAGGGGAAAGGATGAAGAGGAGGTTCAGGGGAAAGGATGAAGAGGAGGTTCAGGGGAAAGGATGAAGAGGAGGTTCAGGGGAAAGGATCAAGAGGAGGTTCAGGGGAAAGGATCAAGAGGAGGTTCAGGGGAAAGGATCAAGAGTTCAGTTTTGAACTTCGTAAGTTTGAAATGCTTATCAGAGAACCACATGAAGATACCAGATAGGCACTTGGGTAGACATACCTGGAGCTCAGGAGAGGTCTGGGCTTGTGCTCATTTGGGAATTGTTTCCATTTGAGTGCTTTCTGCTACAAGGGACCGAAATCTGACTTCAGGTGGCCTTTTTAAGTAAGGATTTTACTGGTTCGCTATAATGGAAAGTCTGAGGGCTCAGGTGGGTTTCATGTGCAACTCACTATGAGCCCACCTCTGTTCACCTTTGCCCTCTTCTGTGGCTGGCTTTTCCCATGGTTGTGAGAGGGCTACCAACTGTGACTAGGGCCAGACAGTCCTCATTCATGTCTAGGGGGAGTGTGAGCTCACTTCCTATTCTTCACTCTTAAGAGCAGCCCGTTAAACCTCTCCAGTTTGGATTAGGCCTTCAGTCATTGAACCAGTACCTGACAAGGTATAGCCATATTAGCTTGTAATAAGTTGAGGGCAGTCCCCCAATCCTGACATAATGGGGGAAAAGTGAACGTTGGAGTCAAGCACAATATCTTCCCCAAGAGTCACTGGCATGTAATTGGAATTTGAAGCCTTGCAAATAAATGTGATGACCAAGGATAACAGGATAGAGTGAGAAGGGATGAGAACTTAGACGTATGCTGTTGGAGTCCACTAAAACTCAGAGGTCAGAAAGGAGTAGCCAACAAAGGAAGAAAAACAGAAGAAGGTTGTATGAAACTATGAGGCACTAAAAAGAGTATCCCTGTGACCTTGAAACAGGAGGAAATTTCTTTTTTCTTTTTTTTTTCTTGAGACGGAGTTTTGCTCTTGTTGCCCAGGCTGGAGTGCAATGGCACGATCTCAACTCACTCCAACCTCCGCCTCCTGGGTTCAAGCGATTCTCCGGCCTCAGCCTCCCTGGTAGCTGGGATTCCAGGCACCCACCCCCATGCCCAGCTAATTTTTTTATTTTTAGTAGAGATGGAGTTTCACTATGTTGGCCAAGCTGGTCTCCAACTCCTGACCTCAGGTAATCCACCTGCCACAACCTCCACCTCCCAAGTTCAAGCAATTCTCCTGCCTCAGCCTCTCGAGTAGCTGGGATTACAGGCATGTGCCAACACGCTCAGCTAATTTTGTATTTTTAGTAGACACAGGGTTTTTCCATGTTGGTCAGGCTGGTCTTGAACTTCCGACCTCAGGTGATCCGCTCACCTCTGCCTCCCGAAGTGCTGGGATTACAGGTGTGAGCCACCGCGCCTGGCCGGAAATTTCTAAAGAAATGAAAAGGCACTAACCAAAAGGGAAAGATGGATTCAATTGTAAACCATCTCTTACTCAAAGACACCACAAAAAGAGTGAGAAGGCATGCTACAGAATGTGAAAAGACGCTTGTAAAACACAAGCAACAGCAAAGTAGTGTCTAGAGAGAGCAAGCCCAGTACGATGTGCTGTGGTTGTGGAATGCTCTGCAGGTCTGCTCCTTCCTGTAGAATGTGATGCAAGGAGGGGACTGTTATGTTGTTGTGTGCCTTCCTGTAGAATGTGACTGCAATAGAGGAATGTTCTACAGCTCTGTCCTGTCCTGTAGAATGTGATGTGAGGATGGGAATGTTCTGGAGTTCTGTCCTGTCCTGCAGAATGTGCCATGAGGATGGGAATGTTCTGTAATTTCTGCTGTCCAGCAAAATAGCCACTAGCCATGTGTAGCTACTGAGCACTTGAAATATTGCTCGTACAACTGAGCAACTGATTTTCTTATTTTATTCATTTAAATTTAACCACATTAGGCTGGTCACAGTGGTGCACACCTGTAATTTCAGCACTTTGGGAGGCCGAGGCGGGTGAATCACCTGAGGTTAGGAGTTCGAGACCAGCCTGGCCAACATGGTGAAACCCCAACTCCACCAAAAAATACAAAAATTAGCCAGGTATGGTGGCACATGCCTGTAGTCTCAGCTACTCAGGAGGCCGAGGCAGGAGGATCACTTGAACCCAAGAGGCAGAGGCTGCAGTGAGCTGAGATCACACCACTGCACCCCAGCATGGGCAACAGAACAGGACTCCATCTCAAAAAAAAAAAAAAAAAAAGAGTAAGAAGGAGATGAGGAGTGGAGAGAGGTTTTGGGGTTGCAGACAATTTCAGGCAGCTGAGGGGAGCAGAGATGAAGACATTACTGAAGGTGGTATGGAAGCAAGAAATAATTGTTCTGTCTGCTCATTGGTTTTGTTTGGTTTTATGTATTTGTTTTAATGAAGGTTCTAGAGCAGGGACTTTCACACTTGTAGACTTCAACCCACTTCAACCCACATTTGTAGACTTCAACCCACAGTAACAAATGTATTTCACACTGTGTCCTGACATACACATATGCTATGTTTACTGAATCTGAGACTCCTTTGATTAGAAGATGCGCCGTTATCTTATGTACCATTTTTTAAAACTGTCAATTAGATGATGAAGAATGCTTTCTCTTCACTTAGAAGTTAATTTTATTTTATGTCTGTGTTTGCTTTTTTTTTTTTTTTTAAGAGACAGGGCCTCACTAGATTGTCTAGGTTGGTCTCAAACTCCTAGGCTCAAGCACTCCTCCTGCCTCAGCCTCCTGAGTAGCTGGGACTACAGATGCACTCCAGCATACCCAGCTTATTTTATGCTTATTTAAAGCCCTTTCCTTTAGACCGTACATTGTTTTTATAATATAAGTGAAATCCACTAGTATTGGTATTCCTAAAACTTCTTCACACCAAGTCCAACTTTTTGAGTTGGTCGTCAGTGTCTAACTATTCCTCTCTGTGCTCCCCGAAACCTTGATCTTAGCAGAAGGTGTTAACAGAGACTTTCGTGCTTTATATTCCTTCCTTAAATTGTCATTCAATATTTTTCTGACCAAGCTGATGAAGAAGGCAGTGGTGCAGTCCTGCCACCTGGACTAACAACCCACTTCAAATGTCACAACCACCCTCTGGCAAGATGCCATCCCGTTATAAGTCCTATTCTCTCCTGATTTCAGAAATGTTCCCCCAAATTTTTAAATTACATATGAGGCTCAACAAAGGGTAGTATATAAGAAAACCATTTCTGGCCAGGTGCAGTGGCTCACACCTGTAATCCCAGCACTTTGGGAGGCTGGGGCGGGTGGATCACTTGAGGCCAGGAGTTCTAGACCAGCCTGGCCAACATGGTGAAACCCCGTCTCTACTAAAAATACAAAAATCAGCTGGGCACAGTGGTGCGCACCTGTAATACCAGCTACTTGGGAGGCTGAGGCATGAGAATCACTTGAACCCAGAAGACGGAGGTTGCAGTGAGCTGAGATTGTGCCACTGCACTCCAGCCTGGGCAACAGAGTGAGACTCTGTCTCAAAAAATATATAAATAAATAAATAAATAAACCATTTCTATGCGAGATGTACTGTGAAGTAAAATTTTTAATATTGGTCACTACCCACTAATTAATTCCATGGCTCACTAGTGAGGCCATTATTTGCAAGCTGGAAAGGGCAGTAGGGACCATCTGAATGCTGATAAGCTGTGTGCAAAGTGGGGACAAGAGGCTGGCAGTGGAGTAGACTGGGGTCAGAAGTCCTGGGGGCAGGCCTGGCCTTGAATTACCAAGGCTCTTCCTCAGTGTTCCATGTGGGAAGAAGGAAAGAAAAGAGACAGGGAGGTAGGTTGTAAATAAAAGAACAAGCTTATGAGCCCATTCAGTCTACACTCATTTTAGCCAATGTGGCTTATTTTGGTTCACTCAGATTAATACTTATGCATCAGGCTTTGTTCACAACACTGAGCTTTGATAACAGTCTTTTTTAAAACAAGAGGGTGAGACAGGCGTTGTGGCTCACACCTGAAATCCCAACACTTTGGGAGGGCAAGGTGAGTGGATCACTTGAGGCCAGGAGTTCGAGACCAGCCTGGCCAACATGGTGAAACCCCATCTCTACAAAAATTAGGTGTGGTAGTGCGTGCCTATAATCCCAGCTACTCAGGAGGCTGAGGCAAGAAAATCGCTTGAATCTGGGAGGTGGAGGATGCAGAGAGCCGAGATTGCGCCTTTGCACTCCAGCCTGGGTGACACAGTGAGACTGTGTCTCTAAATAAATAAATAAATAAATAAATAAATAAATAAACAAACAAACAAACAAGAAGGTGATGGACTCTAGAGAGCTCAACTGATGCAGGCTATTGTCTGGTAAAAATCACAGTAATTCTAACTCCTTTTGCCTGGACTTGATTTTCTCATAGCTCAGCAGCCTTTGCTGTCAATCTGGTCTAGGAAAAACCATAGTATGCACAATTTACTCTCTGCAGCATTGCAGACACTGAATTTAAATATTATGAAATGCACACATCTATAGAAAGAAAGCTGGGCTTTTTAGGGAGGAAGGGAGGGTGTTTTAGTTGGCTTGCTGAGTTTGGGCTGGTGCAGGGAGAGGGATCCAGTGTTTATTTGCAGAGTATGGAATGCTAAGGCCTGAGAGGTGACATGTGCTGTTGAATTCCAGCTCGAGTGAGATATGCCGTGGCATTGGGTAAGTCCTTGGCCTCCCTGAGCCTGTTGGCTCACCTATGAATGTGGACATATTTATACCTACCAGGTGTGTTGGCAAGAGTAAATGACATAAAGAATATAGGCCCCACCCACAGCACATACTCAATATTAATGTTTTCCTGCTTCACAATAACGCAATCATCTGGAGGAACTTCTTCAAAATATAGAGGTGGAACTGTGCCAGAACAGTGCAGGAGGAAGGAGAGCCTGCCGGGCTTGACTGGGTCCTCTCTGGGATTTTGCTCTCCTTCCCGACCTTCCTGGCTGAGATCCACCACCGTATTCACTCCTCTAGTCACCAGCTACGTCAGCCGCTCTGCTGGGCAGCAGGGATTCAAGAGCACAACCGGACCTGGCCTCTGGTTCCGCTAAGCTGCAGTCCAGCTCCCTCCTTTCCTTGACGCTTTGTTCTGCTTTTGGCTGTGCAAGAAGATGCTCAGTCTAAATTGACAGTGGGTTTGGGAGGTGGAGAGAGTTGTGATATTTTGAGAAATCAAGTGATAAAATGAAGGGAAATGGTTAAAATGGTAATTTGTATGTGATTATATTTTCCCAGGATAAAAAATTGAAGAAAAGATAAAGCACCCTTCATAGGTATGCATGTAGTTATTATGTAAAACCCTCTGCTTCCTTAGATCATATAAAAAATTAAATTCAAGTCTGAGGGAAGAAAATAATTGAAGTAGCATTTAAGAGGGTTAAACTTTAATAGTCAAATGACACCATAATGTAACTTAGAAATAGTAAGTGAAAAGTCTCATCTCTTACTAAAAATATAGGAAAGTCAGCAATTTTGCCTTGCGAAAACGTTAAATTTGGAAGGTCATTTGAGGTAATGAAAATTGATTTTGGTGATATTTGTTCAATACTGAATATATTTAAAACCATTGAGTTGTACTTTTTTGTTTGTTTGTTTGTTTGAGACAAGTTTCACTCTTGTTGCCCAGGCTGGAGTGCAATGATGCCATCTCGGCTCACTGCAACCTCTGGCTGCCAGGTTCAAGCAATTCTCCTGCCTCAGCCTCCCTAGTAGCTGGGATTACAGGCATGCACCCCCACACCCAGCTCATTTTTGTATTTTTAGTAGAGACAGGATTATGCCATGTTGATCAGGCTGGTCCTGAACTCCTGACCTCAGGTAATCCGCCCGCCTCAGCCTCCCAAAGTGCTGGGATTATAGGCGTGAGCCACTGTGCCTGGCCGAGTTGTACATTTTAAGAAGAGGAATTGTATGGTATGTGAATTCAATAAAGTCGTTACCCCCCAAAATTGAAAAAGTAAGATGCAACGGCCTATAATTGGCAGTAATTCAATAATGCTTATTGAATGATTGAGTAAATGAATGTGTGGCAAAAGATAGCTATTCATTCATGAAACAAAACTGCAGTCTGGGTTCCTTTTGACTTTGAGGAGACTTCAGCTCAACTGTCTGTAGGACTTTTAAGGATGAATTTATTGGAAGAGGGTCGCAAATATTAACTCAATGCACCAACTTTTGTGTTTTGAATTATTCTTGTTTCTTTTGATGTTTTTTAAAATGAGACTTATGCTCATAAAAGTGTATCCAAAATTTTTTTGAAAGGCAATTTTTAATGCCTACCTACTCCATGCCATAAAATGCTCTTTCTTGATTAAGCCAATATTACTGGATTTATCAATATTTCAAAGTTTGTGACTTTCTATAAAACAAAGTTCAAATCTGAATTAACTCACAGGTTGTTCCGATGGCTCATAAATTTATGTTGGTAAAATACTTTTGCCTCCCAGAATAAAACCAGGCCAGGTGCGGTGGCTGATGCCTGTAATCCCAGAACTTTGGGAGGATTGCTTGAGGCCGTGAGTTCGAGACCAGCCTGGGCAAAATAATGAAACCCTGTCTCTACAAAAAAAAAAAAAGAAAAAAAAAATTAAAAAATAGCCAGACATGGTGGCATGTGCCTATAGTCCCAGCTACTCAGGAGTTAGAAGTGGGAGTAGCATTTGAGCCCAGAAGTTCAAGGCTGCAGTGAGCCATGATTGTGCCACTGCACTCCAGCTTGTGCAACAGAGTGAGACCCTGTCTCTAAAAATAAAATTTAGATTTAAAAAAAGAAGAATAGGCCGGGCGTGGTGGCTCATGCCCGTAAACCCAGCACTTTGGGAGGCTGACTCAGGTGGATCGCCTGAGGTCAGGAGTTCGAGACCAGCCCAGCCATCATGGTGAAACCCTGTCTCTACTAAAAATACAAAAATTAGCTGGGCATGGTGGCAGGCGCCTATGATCTCAGCTACTCAGGAGGCTAAGGCAGGAGAATCATCACTTGAACCTGGGAGGCAGAGGTTGCAGTGAGCCGAGATCACGCCATTGCTCTCCAGCCCAGGCGACAAGAGTGCAACTCCAACTGAAAAAATAATAATAAATAAAACCATAGGTAAGTATAATGAGGGACAAGATACTGTAATTTCTGCTCAAGCTAAGAAGAAAAAGGTAAAGCAATTTGGGGAGATATCAAGCTATAAGTAAATGCCCAGAAACATAGTGTGCTGTACATGTAGTAATCTACTTCATGATCATTACCTTTGTTAAGGGCTCATTATATAAAGGCATAACAGAGAAATCAAAAACAAACAAACAAACCCCATCTCCCAAAAGACAGAAAACTGTCTCCTTAATTAGAAGCATTTCTCTTTAATTATAAACTTTTTTGAATCCTCAAAAAAAAAGTTCATGGATTTTGGTACTATTGAGAACCTGTCACAACCAAAGTTCAGCTCACTCTTCAGAGAGCCCTCTTTATTTCTTATCTTCCTCTCTTTCTCAGCCATTTCCCACATTGTTTTCAAGCTGTATGTCTTTTCTTTCCTGGCTGAGTTCCCAAGTCGTGATCATCGCTTAGTGTCTGACTTGAGACTCTGTTAGGGGTGGGGTCCTGCTGCCTGAAGCACAAAGCATGGCAGGGTCGGGTTCTGGCGTGTGGTTCCCAGCAAGGGCGCTGAAGACAGGCAGCTCTTCCCTGGCATTCTGCCCTAGCACAGAGTGCGCCATAGATCCCATGAATGGCTGTCCTGTGAACAATGAGAGGACAGAAGGGAGCTGTGCAGGCTTCCTTCCAGCTGCAGACGCCAAAGCATACAGAGGGCCTGCTGACTGCAGCTGGGGAGTCCTGAAATGGCCTTGCATTTATGTGAAGTGCTCATCCAAGCTGCGATCCATAACAGGGCCATTATAAGGACACCTGAGATTCTCTCATTTACTGCAGCACAGCCTCTTGCCAGTGTCTCTCATCCCGCTCTGCTGAGCTCTGAGCAATATTTAAATGAATTGGAGGCAGGCCAGGAGTTATTTTCCCTTCCCCTTTTCTCTATTTTCTGACTTCTTCTCTCAGGGCTTTCTGTTCTCATGACACAGTTTTTACAGCCAAAGGTCAGTACATTTCTTTTCAAAAGTCCCGTAGATCCGCCTTGCTCCTGGCATCCTTTCACCTTCTTATGAATGATGAAGGTGAAATAGAAAAGGTGAACCTTTGGAGAAGGAGGAAACACAATTTCTCCCCTGCGCTGCCAGACACTTCCTTTCATTTCTTTGCTGCCACACCGTGGCAGCAGATTTGCCCTTAGATTACAATCAATGTGAAGCTAAAACAAAGCTATAGTCAAATGCTAATAGATTCTTGGGCTCTGGGACATTTTCAGAGGGAGGGTGGGAGTAGACACAAGAAGAAATCAGGGTCTGGGCATGGTGGCTCACGCCTGTAATCCTAGGAATTTGGGAGGCCGAGGCGGGCGGATCACCTGAGGTCAGGGGTTCGAGACCAGCCTGGGCAACATGGCGAAACCCCACCTCCACTAAAAAAGTACAAAAATTAGCCAGGCATGGTGGTGCATGCCTGTAATCCCAGCTACTTGGGAGGCTGAGACAGAAGAATCGCTTGAAAACCCAGGAGGCGAAGGTTGCAGTGAGCTGAGATTATGCCACTGCACTCCAGCCTGGGTAACAGAGTGAGACTGAAGAAAGAGAAAGAAAGAAAAAGAAAAAGAGAAAGAAAGAAAAAAAGAAAGAAAGAAAGAAAGAAAGAAAGAGAGAAAGAGAAAAAGAGGGAGGGAGGGAAGGAAGGAAGCGAAGGAAGGACGGAAGGAAAAGAAAGAGGAAGGAAGGAAGGGAGGAAGGGAGGAAGGAAAGAGAAAGAAAAAGAAAAAAAGAAAGAAAGAGAAAGAAAGAAAAAAGAAAGAAAAGAGAAGAAAGGAAGGAAGGAGAAAAAGAAATCAGGGAATAATAAAAACTACCACTTGTAAAAATATATATTGTGTGCCAGGCATTGTGCTAGATACCAGAGATTCATTGATCAGTTAGGTAGAGGTGGTGTTCACCTGATAACTCCATTTTTCAGTGAATAGATGCCTTGCTCATAGTGGGGACTCAACATCATTGAATGGAAATGTTTGCTAGTAGGTTGAACATCAGCAATGTTTGCTCTAGATTCTCCTGCTTGTGTGTGCAATAGTTTAAGAAATTCCTTTGGACAGTAATACCATGGATCTAGCCTCTTAATGAAGAATACCCAAAGTACTCCTGGCAGAGAAACTGGCAATCACTTTGGGTGGTGGAGCATAGCCTCCTACCTCTAGATTCAGTGTTCTGCAAATTCAAAGAGGAGAGTGTTTTTTTGTTTGTTTTGTTTTGTTTGAGATGGAGTCTCTGTTGCCCAGGCTGGGGTTCAGTGGTGCGATCTCGGCTCACTGCAACCTCTGCCTCTCCCGAGTTCAAGCGATTCTCCTGCCTCAGCCTCCCTAGTAGCTGGAATTACAGGCACCCACCACTACGCCCGGCTAATTTTTGTATTTTTAGTAGAGACGGGGTTTCACCATGTTGGCCAGGTTGGTCTCAAGCTGCTGACCTCAGGTCATCCGCCCACCTCAGCCTCCCAGAGTGCTGGGATTATAGGCGTGAGCCGCCGCACCCGGCAAGAGGAGAGTGTTTAAGTGCAGTTCAGAAACTATGAGCGAATATAAAATGCTGTTACACTTAGCACTACTTCAACTAAGCCCTCTAATTGCTCCTAGATGGCACCCACTTCAGGAAGAAGTTATGAGGCCTATTTGATGGAGAGTGAATATCACACATCCAGATTTGTTCAATTGGTACCTCCATTTTTCAGTTAACAGAGAGGCTGACCTTGCACATGATAGCTACTCAGACATCTGTTAAATTGAAATGTTTGCTAAGCCTGCCTGATAAATTGTTTTGATTTGGGTTTTGCTATTTCTTGATAAATATGCCCAACAGTTTAACAAATCCCCATTAACATTAATGCCCTGGATCTAGACTAATAAGAATAAACAAATTTCCTCTCTCTCTTAAACTGAATTTCTTTAAAACGTTGCTCAAAATCAAGTTTTATGGCAAATTTCATCACTTAGTCTGAAACTTAAATCTTATTTTTGTCATGTTTTATGTGATCTGATCAGATGATATGGCCCCAAACAAAGCCATAACATCAGCTTGGCCAACTATTTTCCTTAATCACTCTTGTAGCGCTTTAAGACCACATTGTTGGCCGGGCACGGTGGCTCACACCCATAATCCCAGTACTTTGGGAGGCCGAGGCAGGCAGATCACCTGAGGTCAGGAGTTCAAGACCAGCCTGACCAACATGGAGAAACCTCGTCTCTACTAAAAACACAAAATTAGCCGGGCGTGGTGGCGCTTGCCTATAATCCCAGCTACTCGGGAGGCTGAGACAGAAGAATCACTTGAACCCAGGAGGCGGAGGTTGTGGTGAGCCGAGATCGTGCTATTGCACTCCAGCCTGGGCAACAAGAGCGAAACTCCATCTCAAAAAAAAAAGGAAGAAAAAAGAAAAACACACATCTTATAGTGGAGATATTTGCCATGTTTTTCTGCCTTTTTGTGAGCCTGACATAATCAGTGAGGAAGTAGCCAACCTTTCCAGGTATTTGAATGTTCTAGGGCCTCAAGGAATCCATTTATTAAATTGTAAACCCCCTAACTCAAGCTACAGCTCCCAAAAAGGCAGGAGGGTGGGTGGGAAGAGCAAGGTCCTCACTGCAGAGCAGCTTGGGGCAGCACTGTGACTGACAGCACATGTCTGGAGTCAGACCCATCTACATCCCAGGGCCATGAACTACTTGAGCAAACCATGTATGATTTCTGTGCCTCTGTTTCCTCATCTGTAAAATGCAGATTATCAGGCTGATGATATGATAAAAATTATATTAGTGCCAGGCTCAGTGGCTCACACCTATAATACCAGCACTTTGGGAGGCCAAGGTGGGAGGATCACTTGAGGCCAGGAGTTCAAGACCAGCCTGGGCAACATAGCAAGATCTTGTCTCTTAAAAAAAAAAATGACAGGGTCATGCCTGGATGATGGAGGTCACGCCTGGGTCATAATAGGATGTGGTAGTGCACACCTGTAGTCCCAGCTACCTAGGAGTCTGAGGCAGAAGATTGCTTGAACCCAGGAGCTCAAGGCTACAGTGAGCTATTATCACACCACTGCACTCCAACCTGGGTGAAAGAGCAAGACTCTCCAGCATGGGTGACAGAGCAAGATCCTGTTTCAAAAAACAGAAAAATAATAAATAAATTATATTAGATATATAATAGGTTAGCTTATGAAAAGCATTCAGTAAATTACCATTGATAACATCAGTCCAGCAAAAGTCACTTCTCTGGGTTTCCATTTCCTCACATGTGAATTGGAAAGTTTAGGCAATCATGTCTAAAGCCTATTTCAGCTATAATCAAAGTCTCTGGTTGTAAATAACACCACTACAAGCAAAGAGCTGATAGATGTCGCTTTTTCTCTATTCCAATACACAGTATCAGAGCCTAGACAACAAAGGGGGACTTCATCTCTACTAAAATTTTTTTAAAAGTTAGCCAGGCATGGTGGCATGCACCTATAGGCAGGAGAATCACTTGAGCCCAGGAGGTCAAGGCTGCAGTGAACTATGATTGCACTACAGCCTGGGTGAAAGAGTGAGACCCTATGTCAAAAAATTAACAAAAAAGACATAAAAAACAATACATAGTATCAGTACTTTCTTAAGTTTGTGATTTTAAATGCTCTCTCTTAAGTAATCCACTGAAAGATGTTTTTTCTGCTGCCTGATGATCGTAATCAGTGCTATATTAGTCTAGGGCTGCCATAACAAAGTACTACAGACTGGGTGGGTTAATCAACAGAAATTTATTCTCTCGCAGTTCTAGAGGCTGGAAGTCCGAGATCCAGGTGTCAGCAGGGGTGGTTTCTCCTGAGGCTTCTCTCCTGGGCTTGCAGATGGCTGTCTTCTCCCTGTATCTTCACATGGGCTTCCTTCTGTGTGCATCTGTGTCCTAATTTCTTTTTATAAGAACACCAGTTATATTGGATTAGGGCCCACCCTAATGGCCTCATTTAACATTAATTACCTCATTAAAGGCCCTTTACAAATACAGTCACATTCTGAAGTACTGGGGATTAAGACTTCAACATATGAACTTTTGCAGGGAACATAATTCATCCTCTAACAAGTGCTCTCTAACAAGAGTGTCTATGCTTAAAAGAGATTGCAGCAGAGTTCTTTACATCCCTCAAAACATTGGTATATTAAAATGATGACATCATGCTGATCCCAGCAGTATGAGCAAGAAGTGGCAAACATGCTGGAGGCGTGCCGTAAGCCCTCTGTAAGACCCACTTTGGAAGGTGAGAGATAAACCATAGAAAGATTTAGGGGCTTGCCTCATCAATATGGTATTTAGGAGTATGGCGGTCAGGGGCATGCTGGGATACTCCTGCAAAGTAAAAGACAAATTGCTACTTCTTCCATCCCTCACCACAAAGAATGAAGCCTGACTGGATCCTGGAGGCAACAGTTCCACACTCAGGACTACTTTTCCAGTCCATATGCCAAGTGACACAGAACGCTCCTCACTTTGAATGCGGCCTAGAGCAGGAAGGAGCTCTGCAGAAGGCCCAGGCTGCAGGCAAAGAAGCCTTGCTTTGGACCATATGGTTCAGCAGGCCCAAAGATGCTGGAGGTATCAATGGTGGAGGAGATTCAGTAAGGAGTTTAATCAATGGTGGAGGAGATTCAGTGAGGAGTTGATGTCAGGCTCTAGAGGGAGAGTCACAGTGCAGGCTTGGGGGACCTGGAACAAGGATATCCTGTCTGTTACTGGGCCCTGGAAGAGACTGAATGTTTGACCATGGAAGAGCAAGTGCCTGTGAATCCAGAACTGCTAGTCATGACTTCTGGCTTCTGACAAACTCATCAAATCATAAGATCAGGCAAGCCCAGAGACAATCTATCATAAAATGGAAATCATACATCTGGATCAAGCCCAAGCAGGACAACAGGGTACAGGTAAGCCACATGAGCAGGTAGCCAGACCTTGGTCATCCACCATGGTCACACCAGTACCCCTTCCTCAACTTTCACTAATGGCCATATGCAAAGAGGGGAGGGTCTCATACAACCAGTTGAAGCAGGAAGAAAATGCGCAAAATTGACTTATCTTGGGTTGGCTCAGTGAGTAAGTTCAAGCCACAGATGGATGGCAGCGCCACGGTAGCCACACTCTGGAGTGACCTTGAAAGACAGTGGAAAGAGGAACCCTTCCCAAGGGGCAAAACATTGAGCATGCACCTGGGTATGTGTGTCGTGTAGAAAGAAAAGCAGCCCAAGATAAAAAAAATACATCTGGACTCATGGGAAGCAGCAAGTGACCTGTGTCAGGAATCTGGAAGGCCAGGGACATGGAGGTCTGGGGAAAAGGCATTTGGGTGGGCATATGGGAATAGGTAAAAAGAGGGATGATCTCTGAAGTACATGCTGTGCTCAGCAGAAAGCATCCACCTCTGAAGACGCACCGATAACTGCACAGACAAAGTGACTCCCCCTGTTGACATTAGCCAGCCCTTGTCATCAGCCACCCCAGGAGTGGAAACATAGGCACATAAATGGACTGGCCATATTGCCAGAGATGGATGCCACACATGGGCTCATCTTCATGGACACTCAGTGCCCTTTCCTGTTCCTGATTTTAATAAACATGCCTCTAGTGTTTCTCTCTAAAATGCTGGTTTAGAACTAAGGCATATAGGCTGGGTGCAGTGGCTCACTCCTTTAATGCCAGCACTTTGGGAGGCCAAGGCGGGCGGATCACCTGAGGTCAGGAGCTTGAGACCAGCCTGGCCAACATGGAGAAACCCCGTCTCTACTAAAAGTACAAAAATTAGCCGGGCATGGGGGCGGGTGCCTGTAATTCCAGCTATTCGGGAGGCTGAGGCAGGAGAATTGCATGAACCTGGGAGGCAGAGGTTGCAGTGAGCCAAGATAGCGCCACTGCACTCCAGCCTGGGCAACAAGAGTGAAACTCCATCTCAAAAAAAAAAAAAGAAAAGAAAAAAAGAAATTGGTCTGCTTACGTTTTCTATCACTAGAAAATTCTGGTGAACTGTGATTTCCTATATAACTATCTAGTTCATGAACATTTTCAAATGTATGTACATCGTGATTTGCAAAATGTCTCTGATTTTCTTTTTTGCGGGGGGGGAAATGGTCCCACTTTGTCACCCAGGCTGGAGTGCAGAGGCACAATCTTGGCTCACTGCAGCCTCAACCTCCTGGGCTACAGGTGCACACCACGAGGTCCAGCTAATTTTTGTTGTATTTTTTGTAGAGATAGGGTTTTGCCATGTTGCCCAGGCTGGTCTCGAACTCCTGAGCTCAAGCAATCTGCCCTCCTCCCAAAGTTCTAGGACTATAGGCATGAGCCACTTGGCCCAGCCCTCTTACGGTTTTATAAATTTCTTCTCAACAAGTATTTCTCCCTCATCGTATCTTGTTTTGCAGATATGCAAATCTCTATGAGGTTTCATAAGATATGCTCATCATACAGATATGAACACAGTGCCTCATGCCTGTAATCTCAGCACTTTGGGAGCTCCAGGTGGGAGGATCACTTGAGCCCAGGAGTTTGAGACCAGCCTGGGCAACATAATGAGACTCCTACTCTACAAAAAAGGAAGTCACGTGTCACTTAACAACAAGGATACATTCTGAGAAATGCATCATTAAGCAATTTCACTGTGCAAACATAGAGTGCACTTACCCAAACCTAGATGATATAACCTACTACATACCTAGGCTATATGGTATAGCCTATTGCTCCTAGGCTATAAACCTGTATAGCATGTGACTGTACTGGATGCTGTAGGCAATTTTAACACAATGGTATTTTTGTATCTAAAGATAGATACCTAAAGATAGAAAAAGTATCGTAAAAATACTGTGTTACATGGCCGGGCACGGTGGCTCATGCCTGTAATCCCAGCACTTTGGGAGGCTGAGGCAGCTGGGTCACCTGAGGTCAGGAGTTCGAGACCAGCCTGGCCAACATGGCGAAACTCCGTCTCTACTAAAAACACAAAAATTAGCCGGGTATGATAGGTGCCTGTAATCTCAGCTACACGGGAGGCTGAGGCAGGAGAATTGCTTGAACCCGGAAGGCAGAGGTTGCAGTGAGCCGAGATCATACCACTGCACTCCAGCCTAGGCGACAGAGATATACTCCGTCTCAAAAAAAAAAAAAAAATTATGGTGTTACAGTCTTATGGGACCGCTGTTCTGTATGTCATCCATTGTTAACCAGAATGTTGTTGTTTTGTAGCACATGACTTCATTTGGTCTTTCTTCCTTTTTTTATTAATTAAGTCAATGGTTTGAATGCTTTGTTGTTTTTATTTCCCAAAAAACAGTATTTTGTTTAAACCGTATTTTGTCTGCTATTTCTCTATTCTCCATCTCATTAGTTTCTGCTTTTATTTCATTATTCCCTTCCTTGTGCTTTCTTTTTTTTTCCCAAGCCAAACTGTATCCAGCTTTATTAAAAATACTTTCCATAAGCAATCATGATATTTCAGGCAGGACATGGGCAGACAATCGTTAACAGTATACAACAACTTTCAAACTCCCTTCTTCAATGGCCTACCAAAAATCAGAAAGCCACTATAAAACCCAGTGAAGTCTTCATCTGATGTTCTGAACAGGGAAAGTTTAGAGTGAGGGTTGACATTTCATGTTTAGCCTGTTGTTTAACAACTTTTCACAAGCCAACCCTAACTTTCAGGAAGTGAAATGACAATGGCAGAATTTTTCTGAAGACCCACAGTCTAGAAATGGAACCACTGCTCTTTTGACAGGTGCCACCTCAGTGGCATCACTGGAAAGTCCAGGTTGCCTGACACACTGGTAACCAATGACTGGGGGTAGGTCCTAACAGATGTCTGGGCTTAAGGGAGTTAAGTGTATGCTGAAAGATGGAAAGGGAGAAGAGGACATAAGGACGTATTTGTTTTTCCATACCACAAGGCTTTTGTGCCAAGGTGGCCATGTGTGTCAAAGTCCAGGAATCCCTCCTCCTGGGAGCCAAGAGGAAGTCTCTCAAAACTAGAAGGGAGAGGTGTTTTCCCCACATCAATCCAGCTTCGGAGACATTCTATTAGTGACATATGCCCCTCCCCAACAAAACAACAATGAAGTGTTCTGTGTGCTAACAACATAGCTTAAAAAATAATAAGAAGAAATTAACACAAAATTCTGCATTTTTATAAAACTTGATAGAAATAGTATTTCAAACTGTACAGTCACCAGAAGTACACGGTTATCAAAAATGCACACACTTTACTTGGCATCTCCAGCACCTTCAGCTTTCTGTGCCTGGTCTGTTTTGGCATCTCCATTTTCTGCAGGGTTATTCCCCTCCTTGCCAGCAACAGCTTTTCCCTTTTTCCCTTTGGGTACTGTCTCTCTATTCTACGCAGGGGCCTTTTTAGGCTTGGGCTCTGGTTTTGGAGGAGCAGGTTTAGCAGACAACCTCGCGGATCTATTCTGTGGTTCGTCCTTCACCTGGGCTTTATCTCCTCCTTTAGTATCCCCTTCAGCCTTTCTCTTGGAAATGATCTCGGCGGCGGTGGCGACGGCAGTGGGACGTGGGCGTGGGCGCCGGATGCAGCGGCGCGCGGGCTTTGGTTGGTTCGGGGGTCGTTCTCGCCTCTTTTTCTTCACATTGTGCTTTCTTTTGATTTACTTTTTGGTTATTTTTCTAGCTATTTGTGTTGAGAATACAATTCATTAATTTTTATTGTTTTCTTTTTAAAAATTGTTATATGTTTTTTTAATTTAAAATTTAAAAAAAGACGGCTGGGTGCGGTGGTTTACGCCTGTAATAGCAACACTTTGGGAGACTGACGCCGGTGGATCACCTGAGGTAAGGAGTTCGAGACCAGCCTGGCCAATATGGTGAACCCTCATCTCTACTAAAAATACAAAAATTAGCCGGGCGTGGTAGCATGCCCCTGTAACCCCGTGGTGGCATGCCCCTGTAATCCCAGCTAGTCGGGAGGCTGAGGTGGGAGAATTGCTTGAACCTGGGAGGCGGAGGCTGCAGTGAGCCGAGATCGTGCCACTGCACTCCAGCCTGGGTGATAGAGACCCCTCTCGAGGCCAAGGCGGGTGGATCACGAGATCAGGAGATCGAGACCATCCTGGCTAACACGGTGAAACCCCGTCTCTACTAAAAATACAAAAAATTAGCCGGGCGTGGTGGCGGGCGCCTGTAGTCTCAGCTACTGGGGAGGCTGAGGCAGGAGAATGGCGTGAACCCGGGAGGCGGAGCTTGCAGTGAGCCGAGATCGCGCCACTGCACTCCAGCCTGGGCGGCAGAGCGAGACTCCGTCTCAAAAAAATAAATAAATAAATAAATAAATAATTAAATAAAATTAAATTAAAGAGATAGGTGTCTCACTATGTTGCCCAGGCTGGTCTCGAATTCCTGGGCTCAAGCAGTCGGCCTGCATTGGCCTCCCAAAGTGCTGGGATTACAGATGTGAGCCACAGTGCCCGGCCTGTTTTACTTCTATTTACATGAATGTTTAAGGCTATTGCTATTCTTCTGATGACTACTTTAAATGCATCCTACAGATTCATATATGTAGTACAGGTTGAGTAGCCCTTAACCAAAATGCTTGGAACCTGAAGTGTTTCAAATTTTGGATATTTTTGGATTTTGGAATATTTGCATATAAATAATGAGATATCATGGGGATGGGACCCAGGTCTAAATATGAAATTCATTTATTGGACCACCTGTGGTTGTTCAGCATTACCATCATTCTGAATGTAAATGACACTGAATATATATGCTACCGATAGCAATCATTTTCTTATACTTATTCACACGTAAGTAGCTAAAAACAGTTAAAAAAAAAAAAAAAGTACTCTAAGATACTATTAATACAGTAAAAGAGGCCGGGTGCCGTGGCTCATGCCTATAACCCCAGCACTCTGAGGGGCCGAGGCAGGCACATCACCTGAGGTCGGGAGTTCGAGACCAGCCTGGCCAACATGATAAAACCCTGTCTCTACTAAAATTACAAAAAAAAATTAGTCCGGGCCAGGTGCGGCGGCTCATGCCTATAATCCCAGCACTTTGGGAGGCTGAGGTGGGCAGATCACTTGAGGTCATGAGTTCGAGACCAGCCTGGCCAACATGGTGAAACCCCATCTCTACTGAAAAAAAAAACCCCACAAAAGTCAGCCGGGCATGGTAGCAGATGCCTGTAGTCCCAGCTACTTGGGAGGCTGCGGCAGGAGAATTGTTTCAACCCAGGAGGCAGAGGTTGCAGTGAGCCAAGATTGTGCCACTGCACTCCAGCCCTCCAGCCCGGGCAACAGAGCTAGACCCTGTCTCAAAACAAACAACAACAACAAAAAATTAGTCTGGTGTGGTGGCACGTGGCTGTAATCCCAGCTACTCAGGAGGCTGAGGCATGATAATTGCTTGACCCTGGAGGCAGAGGTTGCAGTGAGCTGAGATTGCACCACTGCACTCCAGCCTGGGCGACAGAGCAAGACTCTGTCTCAAAAAAAAAAAAAAAGTAAAAAAAATATGTTCAGGGTAACTTGTGGCTTCATGTTGGTGCTCAAAAAGTTTTGAATATGGGAGCATTTCAACTTTTATTTTATTTATTATTATTATTATTATTATTATTATTATTATTATTATTATTATTTTGCGATGGAGTCTTGCTCTGTCCCCCAGGCCGGAGTGCAGTGACCCCAATCTCGGCTCACTGCAACCTCTGCCTCTCGGGTTCCTGTGCTTCGTCTCCCCGGTTCAAGCAATTCTCCTGCCTCAGCCTCCCAAGTAGCTGGGATTACAGGCATCTGCCACCATGCCCAGCTAATTTTTGTATTTTTAGTAGAAACGAGGTTTCACCATGTTAGCCAGGCTGGGCTGGACTTGAACTCCTGACCTCAGATGATCCTCCCACCTCAGCCTCCCAAGGTGCTAGGATTACAGGTGCAAGCCACCATGCCTAGCCCAGATTTAAAATTTTTGGATTAGGGATGCTCAACTTGTATTTAAATTATAATTTATTTATTTAAATTCTGTAATTTTTATTCATAATTTCCCTTTCAAGAGTTGTTTAATAGAAATGTATTTTTTTAAAAAATTCTGCTGTTAAGTGTGCTCTTCTGATTTCTTATTAATTCTGAATTATATTGCATTGTAATCAGAGTGTGTTGTTATGAAACTTATGCTTTTTAGTGACATAATACATGATCATTTTTTGTGATCATTCTATTAGCACTTGAATCTCTATTATTGGGGTATAAAATTAAATATATATATCCATAAACTCTACCTTATTGATTTTGCTGTTTAGATTTTGTATGTCCTCACTCACGTTTAGTCGACCTTGGTCTGTCTTCTAAGAGTGACGTGTTAAAGCATGCTGTCATTGGCGTGCTTCCGTTTCTCCTTGCATTTCCTGTTATTTTTCCTTCCAAAGGTACTCATTGTTGGTAATTGTGGCTTTTACTTTAAAACATGTACTTCTTCACATTTGATGCATTTTGGCTTAAGTTCTACGTTAATATCAAGACCACAGCAGAGTCTGGGCATGATGGCTCATGTCTGTAATCCCAGCACTTTGAGAGGCCGAGGAAGGTGGATCACTTGAGCCCAGGAGTTCGAGACCAGCCTGGGCAACATGGCGAAACCTCGTCTCTACAAAAAAATACAAAAACTAACCGTAGCCAGGCATAGTTGTGCGTGCCTATAGTCCCAGCTACTTGGGAGGCTGAGGCAGGAAGATCACGTGAGCTTGGGAGGTTGAGGCTGCAGTGAGCCATCATTGCACAATTGCCCTCCAGCCTGGATAACAAAGTGAGACCCTGTTCCCCACATCCCCCACCCCAAAAAAAAAATACCACAGCACTTGTTTTCATTTCCCCATTCCTGTATTTTTATCCTTTTTCTTACATACAGAATATAGTTGATCTTGTTTTGTAGCCAAATTGGAAATATTTTTATTTCATAGGTTAAACCCATTCCCATTTATTTATTTTTTGTTAAAATTTTACTGTGTACATGATTATTTGCTTTGTTTTCACCCATGTGATGTGTTTTCTTTGCTATTTTTAAATTTTCTCTTGGCATTTAGGAATCTTTGTATTTTTCAAGCAATTCTTTGATATCTTTGCACTTTTCTTCCCTTTTTTCTGTAATATATAGGTTATCTTTTATTATTTTTGATTTTTTTAATCAAATTAATTTATTTTTGAATAAATGGTATACAATTTGAAAGCTACAAAGGAACACATACCCTTATACTTCAGTTATTTACTTCTCCCCAGAGATCTTGGTGTATCCTCCCAAAGACAGTCAATGAACACATGAGTATAAGTGCATGTATGTGTACATTGATACATTTTTAAATTTTTATACAAATATAGCCATATTTGTGTAATATGTGCTTTGCCTATTCATCCTGTGTGTGCAATATAGCATGCTGTACACACAATCCTGAACCTTGCTTTTTAATTGTACATGTTAGGGTATGGTACCAAGTGAGCATGTGTAGAGCTGCCTCGTTCTTTCTGAGGATTGCATAGTCTTCCATTGCCTGGGTATACTACAAGTTATGTAACTAATGCACTAATGCTGGAAAGTAGTTTCCAGTCTTTTGCTATTACCAACAATATTACAGAAAGTTTCTTTGTATATATTTATCATTCTACACATGTGGGAGTTTAAATGTACCTTAAATTCCTAGAAGTGGCACACTTTTTTTTTTTTTTAATTTTGAGATGGAGTTTCACTCTTGTTGCCCAGGCTGGAGTGCAATGGCACTATCTCAGCTTACTGCAACCTCTGCCTCCTGGGTTCAAGCAATTCTCCTGCCTCAGCCTCCCGTGTAGCTGGGATTACAGGTGCCTGCCACAATGCCCAGCTAATTTTTTGTATTTTTAGTAGAGACGGGATTTCACCATGTTGGCCAAGCTGGTCTCAAACTCCTGACATCAGATGATCCACCTGTCTTGGCCTCCCAGCACTTTGGGAGGGTGCATGAGCCACTGTACCCAGCCGGCACACCTTTTAGAACGACTCAAATCCAAAATTCTGACAACACCAAATGCCGGTGAGTATATGGAGCAAAAGGAACTCTCATTCATTACTGGTGGAAACCCAAAATGGTACAGACACTTTGGAAGACAGTTTGGTAGTGTCTTATAAAATTAAATACACACTAACCATACAATCCAGTAACTGCACTCCATGTTATCTACCCAAATGAGCTGAAAACTCATGGCCACACAAAAACCTGAACAAAGATGTTTATAGCAGCTTTATTCATAATTGCCAGAACTTGAAAGCCACCAAGATGTCCTTCAGTCGGTGAATGGATAAACAAACTGGTACCTCCAGACAATGAAATAGTATTCAGTGCTAAAAAGAAAATCAGTTATCAAACTACACAAAGACATGGCAGTAACTTAAGTGCATATTACTAAGTAAAAGAAGCAACTCTCATAAGACTATATGACTCTGGTTGTATGACATTCTGGAAAAGAAAAAACCATAGTGACAGTAGAAAGATTAGTGGTTGCCAGAGGTTAAGAAGGGCTGGGCGTGGTGCCTCATGCCTGTAATCCCAACACTTCGGGAGGCCGAGGTGAGAGGATCGCTTGAGCTCAGTATTTCAAGACCAGCTTGAGCAACATAGATGGGGGTTTATATCTAAGACCCCATCATTCATATATATATATATGTATATATACACATATATATGAATATATATGTATATATGTGTATATATGTATATATGTGTATATAAGTATATATGTATATATGTACATATGTGTATATATATGTGTATATATATACAAAAAAAAAGAAGGGAAGGGTGAATAGGCAGAGCAGGGAGAATGTTTAGGGCAGTGCAACTACTCTGTATGATACTCTAAAGGTGATACATTTGTTTCCCTTAGAAAGGAATAAATTTTTGAGCTCTATTGCACAGCAGGATGACTATAGTTATAATAATGTATTGTATACTTCAAATAGCTAAGAGAGTAAGTTTCAAATTTCTCACTGCAAAAATAAGTGGGGTGAAGGAAATGTTAATTAGCTTGCTTTAAATCATTCCACATTGTATACATTTATCAAAACATCACATTGTACCCCATAAATGTATACAATTATGACTTGTCAATTAAAAATAATATTAATTTTAAAACACAAACAAGTGATAGGGTATGGATGCTTTTTCTATTTGTCTGAGTCCAACCTCAGACTCTTAACATATGAAAAAATACTGTATCTAATTTTTTTCACCCGCTCCCCTATGTATCTAAATATTGTAAAACATATAGAATCAGGCTCACTGTCTTGTTTGTGGTAGAAGAGTCCTGAGCTACATTTCATTACATCCTGCAAGGTTCTTTGTGTAGTCTGAAATCTGGATGGCTGTTGAACATACTTGCGGTAAAATGAAGGTAAGTATTGTAACAGGTATGATCAGCAAACTGACTATCTTAAGCAGCCTCAGTAACTCAGTTGCTTTTTTGGCCAAACATGAGTAAATAGACAAATACTGAACATCTACTGCAGTATTATTCAAGATACTGATGTCAGGACTTTGTATCAGTTTGCTAGGGTTGCCGTAAGCCATAACAAAGTGCCAGGAACTGGATGTCTTAAATGAAGAAGCGGGTAGCTCAGGCCTGTAATCCCAGCACTTTGGGAGGTTGAGGTGGATCCCCTGAGGTCAGGAGTTCGAGACCAGCCTGGCCAACATGGTGAAACTTGGTCTCTACTAAAAATACAGAATTACAAAATACTAAAAATACAAAAATTAGCCGGGCATGGTGGTACAGGCCTGTAATCGCAGCTACTCAGAAGGCTGAGGCAGGAGAATCGCTTGAACCTGGGAGGCGGAGGTTGCAGTGAGCTGAGATGGCACCACTGTACTCCAGCCTGGGTGACAAAGTGAGACTCTGTCTCAAAAATAATAATAATAATAATAATAATAATAATAAAATAAAATATCTCACAGTTCTGGAGGCTAGAAGTGCGAAATTAAGGTATTAGCAGCAGGGCTGCAGGGGAGTCCTTCTGTGTCTCTTCGTAGCCTCTGGTGATTTGCTAGCAATCTCTGGCATTCCCCTTGGCTTGCAGCTGTGTAACTTCCACCTCTGCCTTCCTCATCACATGGCGTTTTCCCTGTGTGCGTCTGTCTTTGCATAGCTGTCTTATAAGGACACTCTGCTCCAATATGACCTCATCTTAAGTGAACTAATTATATCTGCAATGACCCGATTTCCAAATAAGGTCACATTCTGAGGTCCTGGGGAGTTAGGAACTTCAACATATCTTATTTGGAGGGACAGAATTCAAACCACATCAACCTTTCTTTGGGCTCTTTTGTGAGAAGGTGAGAGAAAGAAATGTAAAAGCTATATAAAATGTAAAATGTAAAAGATGCTGAAGCCTTCTACCTACAGTGCACTCACCTGCCTAAGGCATAGTGCTAAGAGGTTAAAGTTACAGCCTCAGCATTCACTGTAATCACACAGTACAGGTGAGTTGCCAAAAGCTTCGATCCTAACCTCTTCAGAGGAATTTACAAAGCACTCCTGCCCCACGTGGATTCCACGCCTTTGCTGTGCATGCTTCACTGAGCTGCTTGCTTCATCTTCAGCCACAGTCCTGACACCCTACCCTTGACATGATGAGCTGCAGGCTTGAGTCGAAAGAACAAGAATGTACCAATAAGGGTCAAATGACACCCCTAATCAGCTTACAAACTCCGACCAGAGAGCCTTTGTTTTGATTCTTGTGCTATCGTGTACCCGTTCCTGCTGTCCACATGGGCTCCCTCCTTTGCCACCCTTAGAGAGGGACAAGCACCCACAGGTGGAATTGCTCTTGAAGTAATCCCAACAGCTCTCAATTTGCATCAAAAGAAGTCCCTTTTGAATTCAATACCTGTTAGCCACGAAACCTATTAAGAGTCTATTCAGAGGGCCAGATTTTACCTCTTGGTTCAGTCACACCTCCATCAAGAGCCTTCTGTGTCTTTCTTGTGGGCAGGACTTAAACTTTTGTTATTCTCTTGGCATTAATACACAGCCCTTTCTTGCTTTGCTGTGGTATTTTATTAATCCAATCACATCTAACTGGCTTGTTTTATTCTTTTCCAAACACACCTTAGAGCATTTTTTGTTTTGTTTTTTGTCTTTATTTATTTCTTTTTTTGCTTTTTTCAGAGGCCCAGGAACTTGATCCTAATTTCTAAAGAGGCAGTGAAGAGCCGGGCATAGTGACTCATGCCTGTAATCCCAGCACTTTAGGAGGCCGAGGCAGGCGGATTACCAGAGGTCAGGAGTTTGAGACCAGCCTGGCCAATGTGGTGAAACCCCTTTTCTACTAAAAATACAAAATTAGCCAGGCGTGGTGGTGGGCGCCTGTAATCCCAGCTACTCAGGGGGCTGAGGCAGGAGAATTGCTTGAACCTGGGAGGTGGAGGTTGCAGTGAGCCCACTCCAGTCTGGGCAACAAAGTGAGACTCTGTCTCAAAAAAAAAAAAAAAAAAGAGGCAGTGAAGTTATTCTTATTTTCAAGTGAGAAGAGAAGGTCATAGAAATGCAAAGCAATAATTCATATATATATGAAATGTATATGTTATATAAACATATATATATATATATTTAGAGTAGGTCATCTTTTTTGTTGTTGTTGTTGTGATGGCAATATAGGTCCAGGTGATCCTTCTGCTAATATTCATTCCCCATTGTACTTTTAAGAGCTATAGACTTTTTTTTTCTTTTCTTTCTTTTTTTTTTTTTGAGACAGAGTCTTGCTCTGTTGCCCAGGCTGGAGTGCAGTGGTGTGATCTCTGCTCACTGCAACCTCCGCCTCCTGGGTTCAAGCCATTCTCCTGCCTCAGCCTCCCCAGTAGCTGGGATTCCAGGCACCCACCACCACACACAGCTAATTTTTGTGTTTTCAGTAGAGATGAAGTGTCACCATGTTGGCCAGGCTGGTCTTGAACTCCTGACCTCAGGTGATCCACCCACCTCAGCCTCCCAAAGTGCTGGGATTACAGGCTTTCTTTTTTTTCTTGATACAGGGTCTCACTCTGTTGCCCAGGCTTGAGTGCAGTGGCCCAATCACAGCTCACTGAAGCTTTGACCTGCCGGGCTCAGGGAATCCTTCCACTTTAGCCTCCCAAGTATCTGGGACTACAGGCACACACCACCACACCCAGCTAATTTTTACATTTTTAGTTTTTGTACAGATGGAGTCTCCCAGTGTTGCACAGGTTGGTCTCAAACTCCTGGCCTCAAATGATCTTCCCACCTTGGCTTCCCAAAGTGTTGGGATTACAGGCGTGAGCCACCACACCTGGCCAAGTTTTGTTTTTTAATCAGCTACACTTGAGTTATTTTTCTATTGACTGGAGGCCTTAGAGAGCAATGGCAGAAAAAGGCAGTGGGATGCCATGCCAGGGAAGGCAGGAAGGGAAGGCCAGTCTGACATTTCCTGGCCCTTGCAGCAGCAGGGGTTTTCTGGAAAGTGGGTAAGAGAAAGATGAAGCTTAGGTCTAGGTTAAAATTGTCACTTTCTCTCCAACTGGGAGAGTGTCGTTCATTGATGTTTCTTCAGCTGGGCTCAAAGAAGAGGTAGCAGGATGCATGATGAGGCATGATCCTACTTCTTTTCAGAAGTCACTGAATAACATATTTGCTAAAAGGAACATGCTTAGTCATAAATATCAGTGGAGCTGATTTCACACTACACCACCAATTCTAGAACTTCTGCACTGATGAGAAACTAGCTTGAATTGTCGTCACCCTGGGGGCAGGAAAGTGGGGGGGCGGGGGTAGGGAGGCGAGACTCCATGTCCTCTGGGTTTAAGAGGTTGGACTTTAGAGGATTACATGCTTACTGCTCATTTCACAGGCACATTTAAGGCCCGACTTAACCCCACACTTTCTATTATCGATCCTTCCCCCACCTCACTCCTTACCTACCAGGACCATATACTTAAGGCACTCTACTAGGGACAAAATTTAAAGATGTGCTAAAAAGTCTCAGTAATCAAATCATGCAAAATTTATTTTAATTGAAAATTTTTAAGTCAGTTTTTATGAGGTGACTTCTGAAAAGAAATGGGATCGTTTTCATTGTGCATCTTGCTACCTCCTCTTTGTGTTTTTTTTGTTTTTATTTTGTTTTGAAAAGATGCAGTCTTGGTGTGTCGCCCAGGCTAGAGTGCATGGAGTGCAGTGACGTGATCTCAGCTCACTGCAACCTCCACCTCCTGGATTCAACCGATTATGCTCCCTCAGCGTCCCAAGTAGCTGAGACTACAGGCATGCACCACCAAGCCCAGCTAATTTTTGTATTTTCAGTAGGGATGGAGTTTCACCATGTTGGCCAGGCTGGTCTCAAACTCCAGACCTGGAGTGATCCGCCCGCCTCGGCCTCCTAGAATGTTGGGATTACAGGTGTGAGCCACCGCCTGGCCGCTACCTCCTCTTTTTTTTTCTTTTCTTTTTTTTTTTTGAGACGGAGTCTTGCTCTGTCTCCCAGGCTGGAGTGCGGTGTGGCACCATCTCAGCTCACTGCAACCTCCGCCTCCCGGGTTCAAGCAATTCTCCTGCCTCAGCCTCCTGCGTAGCTGGGATTACAGGCACGCTCCACCACACCTGGCTAATTTTTGTATTTTTAGTAGGGACGGGGTTTCACCACGTCGGTCAGGCTGGTCTCGAACTCCTGACCTCGTGATTCGCCCGCCTCAGCCTCCCAAAATGTTGGGATTACAGGTGTGAGCCACCGCGCCCGGCCGCTACCTCCTTTTTGAGCCCAACTAAAGAAACATCAAGGATTGATACCCTCCCAGTTGAAGAGAAAGTGACAACTTTAACCCAAATCTCACCTTCCTCTTACTTTCTCTTTCCCATTTTCCAGCTGCCAAACTAAGGGCAGCTGCTGTCAGTTTTTGTAAATAAAGTTTCCAGGGCTGGGATTAGAGCGAGAGAAGAGAGGCAGGATTGTGAAAGGTCAGGAGTGGATACTCAATCAAAATTTTTTATATTTTGTTCATTACGGATTTTTTAAATTAATTTTGATTTTTAAAAATATTGCACTAAAATGTTTATGTTGATTATTGAGGTTTTTTTATTTTGTGAACCCATAAAATTTGCAACTGACAGTACCCTGTCCAGGTCCAGTAAAAATACCTAGGAGTCTACAAAAATCTACCCACGACTCACTGGACCTCAGGTACATATCCCCCCCCGCCCCCATGAAGTCTCCATAAAGTGTCCCAGTGAGTTTTAATGTTCTCTCCTGTCTTTCCATGCACGTGTATTAAGATGCATTGCCTTCTGATTAGTGTTTTCCACTTCGAACAGCGGGAATGCCTCGACCACGCCTGTCTTCAAATTTCTGCTCTAGTTAAGAAACGATCTCAGGCCGGGCACGGTGGCTCACGCCTGCAATCCCAGCACTTTGGGAGGCTGACGCGGGCGGATCACCTGAGGTCAGGAGTTCGAAAAGAGCCTGACCAACATGGTAAAACCCCGTCTCTACTAAAAATACAAAATCAGCCGGGTGTGGTGGCGTATGCCTGTAATCCCAGCTACTTGGGAGGCTGAGAAGGGAGAATCACTTGAACCTGGGAGGCAGAGGTTGCAGTGAGCCGAGATCGTCTCAAGAAAAAAAAAAAAAAGAAAAAAAAGAAACGATCTCTTCCCTTCTCAAAGTTATATACATTTCACTATTCGCCAACCACCTCCTCCACGCCGTCCAGAGCTGAGCTGACACGCAGCGAAGTCCTCTCAGTGGTCCCTCCGCACCTCAGCCCTGTGCTTGGCAGCGAGACGAGTGACAGGGCCGCCCCAGCATGGGTCTCCCGGGCCGCGGACCCGCCCCACGCCGTATCCAGCACGCTGTCCTCCCGCCCCATCTTTGTGCCGGCCATCGTGTGGTCGCGTCTGCGCGCTCCGCCCGGTCTGCCGGCGTGAGAAAGAGCTCGTGTCGTTCCCAAGTTCAGACCAGAGGGGACGGCGAAGCGCGAAAAAGTTCCCTGCGCCCAGTACGCAGGCGCAGCCGTGCTCCTGGGCTTCCCGGGCCTCGTCCCAGCTGGCGCGCCCGGCGCTCCTCCGCCAGCGGGCAGTTGGGGGCGCTGCAGGGAGGGCACCCGAGCGGGTTGGGGGCGCTCGGAAGGGTGGCTTGCAAGGTCCGGGTAGCTGCAGTCCCCGGAGTGGGGCGGAGAGGCGCGGCACCGCGCGGACGAGGATGGGGCGGGGGCGGGCGCAGCCCGAGGGTGCAGGCACGATAAGGCGGGTGACAGCCAGCGGGGAGGGGCGGGCGCCACCGCGTCCACGCCCTTTGCTCGGGGCCGGGCCGGGAGGGTCCTCGGGCTTTGCGCGCGCCTGGCCGGCGGGCTGAGGCGTACGGGTCGCACGCAGCGCCATGCGAGGCCCCCCTGCCTGGCCGCTGCGGCTGCTCGAGCCACCGAGCCCTGCCGAGCCAGGTCGGCTCCTGCCGGTAGCCTGCGTGTGGGCCGCGGCCAGCCGCGTTCCCGGGTCCCTATCGCCGTTCACTGGCCTGAGGCCGGCGCGGCTATGGGGCGCGGGGCCCGCGCTGCTCTGGGGCGTTGGAGCCGCGCGCCGCTGGAGGAGCGGCTGCCGGGGCGGGGGTCCGGGCGCCTCGCGGGGCGTCCTGGGCCTCGCGCGGCTCCTGGGGCTGTGGGCTCGCGGCCCCGGCAGCTGCAGGTGCGGGGCTTTTGCCGGGCCAGGCGCTCCTCGGCTCCCGCGCGCCCGGTTCCCGGGCGGTCCCGCAGCCGCTGCCTGGGCAGGGGACGAGGCCTGGCGGCGCGGGCCGGCGGCGCCTCCCGGGGACAAGGGGCGGCTGCGCCCCGCAGCGGCCGGACTCCCGGAGGCCCGGAAGCTCCTGGGGCTGGCGTACCCTGAGCGCCGGAGGCTGGCAGGTAGGGTCCTCCCCGGCCACTTCCCTCCGCCGGGCCTCTCCTTCTCCACACGCGGGGTCCCGGGGCGCCGAGAGGGACACGGCCGGGCCGCAGAGCGCGTGTCACCGCCGCCTCTCCTGGGCCACTCCTAACCCCGGAGGAGGGAGGGGATCGCTCACCTCAGAGTAGCGTTGTCAAGATTTCGCCTTAGCTGGGGACTCGTTTGCAGATTTTACACTTGTTTTCTTGTTGACACACGTTATATATGTCATTATTGGAATCTTTGGGTCTGTTCCACCACCAACTTAGTGGGAGCATCTGTTTTGGCTTAGGCAGCAAAATGAGCTGGAGGTTTTTCCTTGGAAAAAAAAATTCTAGCCAAAAATATGCCTATTTTGTTATTAGGCGTTTATACTTTTTTTTTTTAACCAAAAACACATTATTTGCTTCAAGCGAGTCTGTCAAGCAGTCACCAATGCTTTCACAGCGGAAAGCAAAACTTTCAGACTTGTCTCTTGTGCAGGAAGTTACAGCACTGTGTTCAACAGGCCACACCAGTGATCTGTTCAGTAATTGAGTAACTTTTTTAAAAGAAGCCAAAATGAATGTTTTTAGAAACAAAATTTAAATAGGACAGTTTTCTATAGCTCCTCATTTTTTAGCCATAATTGGAGGAGTGTTTAGATGCAAGGGCCTTGTAAGATCTAAAATTTTTTCGATTTCTCTAAATCTTCACTCCTTCTATAAACATCTGTTGAGCCCTCATTCTGGACTGGGCCCTGGGTTTACAGTGGCATGCACAAGGAAACATGGTCCTCACTTCTGCTGGGGCTTCTAGGTTAGTGGGGAGAAGCATCTATGAAATATTCGTATGTATAGAGGTAAACCTGCACCTGTGGGCTGTGGAAGGGGGCCTGTGGGGCCTGTGAGGTTGTCAGGTGCAACACCAGAAAAGCATTCTTTGCTGCAAATCCATTGCTTTAGAAAGGACCCTCCTGGGTAGTGATTTGGGATTTAGAGTAGGTTTGCACAGTGGAGGAGAGCAGTTAGGGTGGCGACTTTTCATCTACCAGTTGCTATGAAAGCTTAGGGGGCTGTTGATATCACTCGGGTGTAAAGAGAATTATTTCATTGTTCAGTTGGTTGAGTGTAGATTTTGTTGTAAAATATCTTTTTCTCTTTCCTCTTTTTAAAAACATTGGAGACTAGGAGCTCTCACTGGACTTTGAGCTGCTTGAGACGGGGACTGTGCGATTCATCTTTCTGTCTCTAGTTCTTAGCATGTGCACGGCACAGAGCAGGCGCTCAGAGTGCCTTCAGTGAAGGAATAAATGACCATACCACCAGGCACAGAGTGAGGCCTTTAGAAACCCTGAGCATCATCGGGTGCGCCCACCACTTCTGTATGTGACTCAAAGTAAGTGTAAGGAAATCCAGTTCTGTTTTGTTTCTGAAATACTAGATGTCAGGAAGGGTGTTTAGGTGTCAGGCTTTGGTGGCCTACACGTGCCCAGTCCTCTTATGCCATGACCATTGTTCCTGTGACCCCTCACTCTGTCCCCAGATATCCTGCCATGCTAGTATGTTTTGGTGACAGCCTTAAACAAGACGAGACTGCCTCCTTTTTTCTTTCTTCTTTTGTTTTTCTGGGATAGGGGTCTCACTGTGTTGCTGAGACTTGTGTTGAACTCCTCAGCTCAAGCAGCTCTGCCTCTACCTCCTGAGTAGTTGGGACTACAGGCATGTGCCACCACACCCAGCTCGTACCTTTTTTTTTTTTTTTTGAGATGGAGTTTTGCTCTTGTTGCCCAGGCTGGAGTGCAATGGCGTGATCTCACCTCACCGCAACCTCCGCCTCCCGGGTTCAAGCGATCTTCCTGCCTCAGCCTCCCAAGTAGCTGGGATTACAGGCATGTGCCATCATACCCGGCTAATTTTGTATTTTTGGAGACAGAGTTTCTCCATGTTGGTCAGGGTGGTCTCGAACTCCCGACCTCGGGTGATCTGCCCACCTTGGCCTTCCAAAGGTGCTGGGATTACAGGTGTGAGCCACTGCACCCGGCCTTCTTTTTATTTTAAGAACAGAATATATTTTGTTCCACCACATTGAGAAATTATGAATATATAATTTGAAGAAACAAGCCTAGGGTTGGCACACTATTTTTTTTTTTTTTTTTGCTTTTCAAACAGATAAATACATATTGTATGTTATGAGGATAAGGATATCTGATAAAAAGCCCTTATTTAGATGTATGATTTCCTGAGAAGTTATTATATATTAAAGCCAGTTAGGATTAAGAGGAAGTGGTGGTCATTGTTAATTTGTAATTAAAAAAAAATGTGTAATTTATCATTCTAAGAGCAGCCTGAGGTGTTGGCACATCTCTTTGAAATGCTGGAGGTAAAGAGCAATTGCGTGTGTGTATTTTCTAATCAAAACACTAAAAAAGCTGAGCTGAAAAGGAATTCCAATGTTAATTTGTTAATTTTTAGAAAAATACAAAAATCTTTTTTCAAAAATGCAGCTTTATATTTTAATAATAATACCTCCATCTGTCTCAGCATTTTGCTGGGTATGCCTCCTAAACTGTGTGAACAGAAAACTTTGATTGCATCAGAAACTTTAAAAACACAGTCTACCATGAAATATGTACAGACGTGTGCTGAAAGCAGCTTTAGCATAACTGTGTTACATTCCTCTTCTAAAGGAAGGCCTAAGCCGCCCCTTTGGGGAGGAATTCGCAGCTGTCTTCATACAGATGTAAGGTCCCTTTTCACTGATAATTCTCCATCGTATCACTTTGGCCAGAAGGACTCTTAAAAGATGCAGGTGCTTGAGGAGGAGCAGGGTGTGGATTGATGGGATAAGCGACACTTCATCAGAACCGTCTGGCTGTGCCTGGCAGATAGATGAGGCTCTGACCTGAGTGAGTTAGGGGCAGGGTTTTAGGAGCAAATGTGGGCCCCTACAGTACTGTGAGATTAGGGCAAAGCTGCCTCCTGGAGGTTTTTTGTGTGGGGGGCTTCGGCGGGGTGGGCAGCATGCCTTCATTAAACTGTGGACTGCACACATGTATCCCCTCCGCTGGGGCATGTTCAGTTGGTGCCTGTGTGGAGGACTCAGGAGGGCTCCTCTCACTGCAGTTACTGATAAGGGGCTGGTGTGTGGTTTGAGGGCAGGACTGCTCTGAGAACCTGAAGCCTGCTGGCAGCTTTTGCTGAGTTTGTAGTTGCATTTTATGAAGATGGGCCGTGAGTGACCACAGTGAATATAGTGACAAAAGCAGTGGGTATGGTGGGCAAGGAGGCCAGAGTAGCTACTTCCTGAAGCCCAGTGAGGATGGAGATCCCGCAGGGACAGTGCCCTGTGGGGGCTGGGATGGATGAACCTTTGAAATCGGAACTGCCCCCGAAAGCCAGGGATGTGCGTGTGCTACAGAAATACATTGTTTCAGCGAAACTGAGCATTCTGTAGCTGTGCTGTCACATCAGATTCCAGAAGGACAGTAGAGAAAAAATGTAAAATATCTTACTAATTTTTTATGTTGATCATGTGTGGATAATATTTTGGATATATTGGGTCAAGTAAAATGTTATTAAAATTAATTTTACGTATTCCTTTTTATAATGTGGCAACTAGAGAAGTTTAAATTACCTAGGTGGCTCCCATCGTATGTCTGTTAGAGTCCATGGCGAACCCTCCTGTGGTTCATGGGACAGGTACCCCTAACTGTTTTATTTTAATTTTGTCTTTGGGATACTCCTAACTCTAGAGCATGCTAATAGCATGGACAGAGACAGTCTGATCTTGCACCAGACACATGGGGGCTCAGATCTTTCTTCTCCAGATTTCCAGAACCTGGAGTCCCTGGCTTCTTCCTCTACTCCCTTCTCATCTGTCAGCCGCTCATGTCCTCACTCATTCTCTACCCAGCGCAGATGCCGAGTCTCTTCACTCAGCCTCCATCTCCCCCACACCCTCAACTCCTGTGTTCTCCATCACACCCACCTGCATCCGTGGAAATGTGTCCCAGACTCCAGCAAACCAAACATGTCTAAAAACCAAAGTTACCTTTCTCCGCAAAGCATCTTTCCTCTTCTGTCTCTTGGTTCAGTGAGAGAGACTGCAGTGCGAACCTCTTGGCCTTGGCCAGAGACATGGGTTGTTCTTATAATGGTAGTAATAAAGATAATAGTTAATATTTCTTGTGTACTCAGCCCTGGGCATTGTACCAGATGCTTTGAATATGTGTGTAGTTTACTCATAATTCTGTGAGGGAGGGATTGTTTCTATTGCCATTTTACAAATGAGGAAACTGGGCACAGAGAGATGGAGTGACTTATGCAAGGTCAAACAGCTAGATGGCAGAGCTTAAAAGGAGAACTTAAGATAACGAATGCCTAACCTAGGAGGGCCGGTTCTGAGGTTGAGTTCGTCAGGGTTCCGACCCAATGCTGACCAACTCAACCTCAAAACGGCCCTCCTAGGTTAGGCATTCCTCATCCTAAATCCTCCCTTTAACCCTCATCTTATCCTCATTTTTCAGAGAGGAAAAATGCTCACATCCAACCAGTCATCACGTCCTAGTTCTTAAAAATATCTGTAGTCCTATACTCTGCCCTTTATCCCTCTGTCCCCAGCCTACTTCGCCCTAAGTTTGCTTCTCACCTAGGGCACTAGAACAGTGCTCTGTCCGCTGCTCCTTTCGCTCTGTAGCCAGAGTGGATCATTTAAAAATGCAAATCTGGCTGGGTGCGGTGGCTCACGCCTGTAATCCCAGTACTTTGGGAGGCTGAGGCGGGCGGATCACCTGAGGTCGGCAGTTCAAGACCAGCCTGACCAACATGGAGAAACCTCATCTCTACTAAAAATACAAAATTAGCCAGGCATAGTGGCGCATGCCTGTAATCCCAGCCACTCGGGAGGCTGAGGCGGGAGAATCGCTTGAACCTGGGAGGTGGAGGTTGCAGTGAGCTGAGATTGCGCCATTGCACTGGGCAACAAGAGGGAAACTCTATCTCAAAAAAAAAAAGCAAATCTGGCTGGATCATTCCCCAGTGTAAAGCCCTTTTAGGCCGACCTTGCCACAAAATCCTTCTGTTCTATAATCTAGAGGCTTCATTTCATTTCTCAGTTCTCCTTCCTGTGCACCCATGAGGTCTCTGCCCCTGCTCCATCCTGCCAGGCTTTCTGCTCCCTTCCCTGATTCCAAGGTGAGGCCTGTGCTTCCTCTTCCTCTGCTTGGGATGTGGGAAGATGCCAAAGACAGGCTTTGTCGCAGAATGTGGTTCTGTGATGTGTAAATTGGGAGACCTTGCGTAGGCTCCCTCTCTCTGTGTTCGAGATTCCTCTCTGAAAAACGAGGATAAGATGAGGGTGAAAGGGAGGATTTAAGATGATGGATGCCAGATCCTTCAGATAATGGTGAGGACTCTGAAGTGCTGCCTTTGAGTCCTTGAATGACAGTGGGGATTGCTGTACCTGCCTGATATAACCAGATGGGTGCCCTGTTCAGCAGTGGGCAGGTGGTAGGCACAGTGTACAGCTTCCTCCAACCACCCCCAACCTCTTCTATCCAGCGCTGTTGTCCAGCAATCTGCAATTCAGATTTTCCTTCCCCTTTCTTTTGAAGGATATTTGTTTCCATCTTTGCTGCAATTCAGTAGAATGAGGTAACAAAGATACTTGAAGGTATCTGTCAAGAAATAGATAATGGGAGAAGTTGCTGGGGCCGCATCAGGCAAGGGTGGGGGCAAGCAAGAGACTTAACTATGGAGAAAAGGTGTGGGAGAATTTCAGAATTGCAGTATGCTCAGTTGTGTCCAGGGCTTGTGGTGGAATCTGAAATGATGTTTATGGAGCAAGTCTAAAGTATTCATTAATATCAGAAGACAGTGATATGTAGTCAGATCTTGATTAACAAGAATCCAGTTAACTAAAAGCCAAAAAATATTTTACTTTTCTTACATTCAAATTGGACAAAGAAGCAAATGACAATAAAACAAGCTGATAATTTTTAAATGATTATTAAAAAGTAAAAGTGTGGGGGGATATCCTGAAATTAATTTGGATTCAGCTAAATTACTTCCTCTTTGTAATCAGCATTATTACTATGTGAGAACAAGACTCAGAATCATAATTAGGGGGCATTTCATTCATGTCATATGGATTCGTATTGTAGAATCATAACTGATTTAGAAAACTAGAGGAGGAGGGAAGAGGTGGACCTTTATATAGCAGGTCACATACACTGTGCTTTCGGAATTATTCACTGAGGCGAAAGAACAGAGATTAGCTACTGATGAAGGACAAAAAGAATTTTCTGCTGAATCCTGAATTTGCCAGGATGACTCTTTCTGGAGCTGCCAGTTCATCGAGGCTGAGGTACTCGGAACCTCAAGTTAGACACACTCCCTGTCCTTTGGGCCTTCAAGCCCCTTTGGGCACTGTTGTAAGAAGCATGGTGCTTTGAAACAAGACCCCGGGCTTTACGTCAAAATGAAGTGACCCTTGCCCAGCTTCCTATTATTCAGTTAGATTGTGATTATGGGATTTTAAGCCAGGCATATGGACTTTATGAGCTGCCAGAATTCACATTTCTGCTTAGGCTATTGAAGAATTTTGATCTGATAGACGTTATTGCTTCCATTGCCAAAGTTCAATTTATTTGTTTGTTCATCCAACAAAATAGTGATTGAGATTCTCCTATGTGCCTGTCACTGTAGGCAATCAGTGACAAAGCAGACCAAAATCTTTTATGTCCTAATGGAGAGAGAAACTAAATAAACAAGTGAAACATTTAGAATGCTGAAAGGTAGGAGCTTCGAGAACACAAATGGAGAGGGAGTGAGGTGGGTAGTGTAGGGTGTCTGTATTTTAAGTGAGGCTGTCAGAGCAGGCCTTTTTGGGGAGGGGACTTTATAAAGACCTTAAGGAGGGGCAAGAGCAATTTTTCTAAATGTTCCCCACTTAAAAAGGCCCATGTTTTTCCTAGAACTCTGTTTGTCGACTAAATGTCCAGTTGGCACTGAGTTTGCTCTGGACTCTTTATTAAGGTTATATAACAGTAATACTTTTTGCTGGGTGCAGTGGCTCATGCCCACAATCCCAGCACTTTGCAAGGCTGAGATGGGAGGACTGCTTGAGGCCAGGAGTTTGATACCAGCCTGGGCAACATAGTGAGACCCCCATCACTATCTTTTAAAAAAATGCATTTGTCTTATTATGAATGCAGTTATCTGTGATATGTGTTGTTACTAATTGGATTTTCTTTTCTTTTCTTTTTTTTTTTTGAGACAGAGTCTTGCTCTGTCATCCAGGCTGGAGTGTAGCAGCACAATCTTGGCTCACTGCAACCTCCACCTCCTGGGTTCAAGCGATTCTCTTGCCTCAGCCTCCCAAGTAGCTAGGACTACAGGTGCGCACCAACACACCTGGCTAATTTTTTGTATTTTTTTTTTTTTTTAGTAGAGACAGGGTTTCACCATGTTGGCCATGGTAGTCTTGAACTCCTGAGCTGAAGTGACCTACCCGCCTTGGCCTCCCAAAGTGCTGGGATTACAGGCGTGAGCCACCATACCTGGCCTATTTATGTGGATTTTCTAAAATTTTTTTTTTTTTTTTTTTTTTTGGAGACAGCATATTGCTGTGTCACCCAGGCTGGAGTGCAGTGGCATAATCATGGCTCACTGCAGTCTCGACCTCCTGGGCTCAAGTAATCCTCCTACCTCAGGCTTCTGAGTAGCTGGGACTACAGGTGCATGCTACCACCCTGGCTAGTTTCTGTATTTTCTGTAGAGACAGGGTTTTGCCATGTTGTCTAGGCTGGTCTGGATCTCCTGGGCTCAAACAATCCACCCACCTCAGCCTCCTGAAGTGCTGGGATTACAGGCATGAGCCACTGTGCCAAGCCAATATTTTCTCTTCAGATAAGACTCTATCTTGTTTGCCTGTTTTTTAGGTGCATGAACAATCCTGTTCATATTTATTTTCATATCATGTTGATATTTCGCAAAGCAATAATACAATATTAAGAAGCAATATATCACATGTTTTATTGACATTTGCTTCTGTGTAATGATCCGTGAAACGGTTTTCCAAAAGTTATCTGGAATGGGTTGTTTGTTTGTTTAAAGCCTGCAGCACCTTGTATTCCCAGGCAGTCTCCCATCCAAGTACTAGTGAGGCCTCGCCCTGCGTAGCTTCTGAGGTCAGACAAGATTGGGTGCGTTCAGAGTGTATGGCCGTAGACAGAGTGTTTTGAGATACTAGATGTAATCAAGGGCTTTAACTAGACAGCTTGATCTTCAAGTTACAATATAGTTAGATGCCAAGGAGTATAGCATGTATAGCATGAATGGAGGAAAAATACAATCTGATGAACACCAAAATCAAGAGATGGGGAGGAAGGGGCTGGCCAGAACGGTTCCATAGTTGGCTCCCAGTTTTTCTTGGTGAGGAAGAGTTGATCAGACTAAGAAGTCATCTTCTCTGATTCAGATATGATCACTCACTTCCTTAGTCAACCTGCTTGTTCTCACCTGGAACCATTTGGTTCTTCCCTTGAGTCAGAGATCGAGGAGCAAAAGGGAGGAAACTGCTAGAGACTGAGATCAACGCATACTCTGACAACAGCTTATTTGGCAAGGAAGCCTCCTGGACTCAGCACCGCAGCCCCTTTGCTGAAGCAACCTGAACATTGAGAGTGCTTGTGTTTTCTAGCTGCGGTTGGATTTCTCACGATGTCCAGTGTTATCTCCATGTCTGCCCCTTTCTTCCTGGGGAAGATCATTGATGTCATCTATACCAACCCCACTGTGGACTACAGCGACAACCTGACCCGCCTCTGCCTAGGGCTCAGTGCCGTGTTTCTGTGTGGTGCTGCCGCCAATGCCATTCGTGTCTACCTCATGCAAACTTCAGGTAACAGTCTCTCCTCTCAGGGATGTGAGTCATCCTGAAGAAGATGTAGAGTCCTGTGGGTTTGTTCGGGCTCAAATCTCATGTGCTCCAGGCTCCATTCTCTTCCTCTCTTCCTGGCATCCCATTAAGTGGGGATAGAGTCCAATGACTGCCCAGATGTTGGAGTTACAGATTATTTTAGATCAAGCACTCTCAACTCTTCTTTTATAGTTGAAGTTGAGCTGTAAGGGCAATCATGTCGGTCTTATGGGAGGTTTGAAAATAAGCCCCTCGGGCTGGGTGCCGTGGCTCATGCCTGTAATCCCAGCACTTTGGGAGGCTGAGGCAGGTGGATCATGAGGTCAGGAGTTCGAGACCAGCCTGGCCAACATGGTGAAACCCCGTCTCTACTAGAAATACAAAAATTACCCGGGCGTGGTGGTGTGTGCCTGTAATCTCAGCTACTCAGGAGGCTGAGGCAGGAGAATCGCTTGAACCTGGGAGGCAGAGGTTGCAGTGAGCCCAGATCATACCACTGCACTCCAGCATGGGGGACAGAGCGAGACTCCATCTCAAAAAAAAAAAAAAGAAAAAAAAAGAAAATGAGGCCCCTGGCCATGAAGCTGGACTTCTGAGGCTTCCTGAAGGCTTCAGAAACCCATTTACATGCCCCATGCTTGTGTTTCTCCTTAAGTAGCAGCTGGGATGATAACTTTGTTAGTATTTCTCTGAAGAGGTCTTGTTTTTACAGGCAGGTCACTGCCACAATAATGAGAGAACCTGGGACACCAACTCGAAGTCTGTTGCTCTCCATTTATCTCTGTGGATAATTAACCAATTCTTGCCATTTGAAGGTTCAATACAGGAAAGGGTTTCCAGGGAGGAACAAAATGAGCTTTTGGAAGTTAATGTAATAAAACTTCTTTGTAAATAATACCTTAAAAAAATCTCGGCCAAGTGTGGTGGCTCATGCCTGTAATCCTAGCACTTTGGGAGGCTGAGGCAGGAGGATTGCTTGAGCCCATGAGTTTGAGACCAGCCTGAGCTACATAGCAAGACTCCGTCTATATAAAAAATAAAAATAAGTTAGCTGGGTGTAGTGGCGGACATCTGTAGTTTCAGCTACCCAGGAGGCTGAGGTGGGAGGATGGCTTGAGCCCACAAGGTTGAGGTTACAGTGAACTGTGATCGTGCCACTTCATTCAGGCCTGGGTGATAGAGCAAGACCCAGTCTCTTAAAAAAAAAAAAAAAGTAAAAATAAAAAAGGCCTCTGAGTCATGTTATATTTATTTTATTCCTGTATCCTCTCACTAGCGCCCACAGTCTGTAGTTAATAAGAGAAAAGTAGTGTTAGTAGTGCATGACAGTTAATGTGCCTGGTTTGGGAAAGTCTCTTTCCACCCATGGGATACAGTGCAGCAGACACGCTCAGAGGCTGCATTGCTCAGGAGGGTTACAACTCCAGGCCAAGCTGCTGCACAGTAAGTGGCTGCCCCATAATGGTAATGGATGTCTTTACCCTTGGTGAGCCTGTTCGTGTTTGCTTTTGCAGGTCAGCGCATTGTGAATAGGCTGAGAACTTCATTATTCTCCTCCATTCTGAGGCAGGAGGTTGCTTTCTTTGACAAGACTCGCACAGGAGAATTGATTAACCGCCTCTCATCAGACACTGCACTCCTGGGGCGCTCAGTGACTGAAAACCTCTCAGATGGGCTCAGGGCCGGGGCCCAGGCTTCCGTAGGCATCAGTATGATGGTATGTGGGCCTGGTTCCCCTTGGTACCTTCCTGCCAGGGCTTGGCTTGCACCAGGCCTCTCACGTGTGAGACGAGCTCAAGCTGAGCGGTTCGCATCATTCTGTAAGTGCCTAGAGCCAAAAGTGCTGTTGCAGAAGCTGCTGGAACGTGGGGATTGCCTCTGCCTGCATGGCCTCTTGTACCTTCATTTCTCCAGAATGAGTGATTATCTGGAAAATGGACTCATGTGTTACTGCTGGGTATTCTGAGATGTGTGTACCCGGGGTATTAAGGCAGAAAAGAGCATCAGGTAGAAGGAGCACTGGGTACTACCCTGTGGGTGGCACCAAGCGGTGACTAAATTCCATTCCTCTGTGTGTGTAAGTCGAACTGTGCTCTTTTAAGGGGAGAGCTCTTCACTCCCATGGCCTTTTTTCCTTTCCTTAACTGGGTGGCTTGTGCCTGTCCTGTCTGCTTGCCTTACCTCTTCAACCAGTATTTCTATTCAGCCCAGTGCTGCAGGTCATTGGAGAGGCAATGCAAGCCACATATGTGATTTTAATGTTTTAGTAGCCACATTTAAAAAAGCAAAAAGAAGCCAATGAGATTAATTTTTTTTTTAATTTTAATTTTTTTAGAGACAGTCTCACTCTGTTACCCAGGCTGGAGTACAGTGGCAAGATCATAGCTCACTGCAGTCTTAAACTCCTGGGCTCAAGTGATTCTCCCACCTCAGTCTCCCAAGTATCTGGGACTACAGGCACACACCACCAAGTCTGGCTAATTTAAAGAATATATATATATATTTTTTGTAGAGGCAGGGTCTCTCTATGTTGCCCAGGCTGGTCTCAAACTCTTGGCCTCAAGTGATCCTCCTGCCTCGGCCTCCTGAAGTGCTGGGATTACAGGCTTGAGCCACTGTACCTGGCTGAGATTAATTTTAATAATGTTTTGTTTAAGCCAGTATAAACAAAATATTGTCATCTCAAGATGTAATTAATATCAAAATTATTAATGAGGTATTTTATATTATTTCTTTCATATTATAGTTGACCCTTGAACAATGCAGGGGTTGGGACACTGAAGCCCACACAGTCAAAAATCAAAGTATAACTTTTGACTCCCTAAAAACTCAACTACTAATAGCCTACTGTTGACCAGAAGCCTTACTGATAACATTAACAGTCAATTACCATGTATTTGGTATATGTATTATATACTATGTTCTTATAACAGAGTAAGCTAGAAAAAAGAAATGGTATTAAGAAAATCATAAGGAAGGTAAAATATATTTATTATTTATTAAGTGGAAGTGGATCATCATAAAAGCTTTTTTTTTTTTTTTTTGAGACGGAGTATCGCACTGTCATCCGGGCTGAAGTGCAATGGCACGATCTTGGCTCACTGCAACCTCCTCCTCCCGGGTTCAAGTGATTCTCCTGCCTCAGCCTCCCGAGTAGCTGGGATTATAGGTGCCAGCCACCACGCCTCGCTAATTTTTTTGTATTTTTAGTAGAGATGGGGTTTCACTATGTTGGCCAGGCTGGTCTTGAACTCCTGACCTCGTGATCTGCCTGCCTCAGCCTCCCAAAGTGTTGGGATTGCTGGCGTGAGCCACTGCGCCCGGCTCATCACAAAAGTATTTATCCTCATTGTCTTCACACTGAGTAGACTGAGAGGAGGAAGAAAGGTTGTTCTTGCTGTCTCAGGGGTGGCAGAGATGGAAGAAAATCTATGTATAAGTTGACCCATGCATTTCAGACCAATGTTGTTCAAAGGTCAACTGAATTTCCAAATCTGGTGTGTATTCTCTACTTAAGGAACATCTTAATTCGGATGCTAAATTTTCATTGAAAGTACTTGATCTATATTTAGATTTTATAAAATGTACAATTGAAAAAGTAGTTTGACATACTCAAGTTTTCCAGACATACTTAATAGTTTGCCAATAACTGAATGGAGTATAGGCTTTTAAATTTTAATTAAACCTAAATACAATTAAAAAGTCAATGTCTCAGTCATACCTGCCACATTTCAAGTTTCCAGTAGGGCTATCGTTTTGGGCAGTGCAGTTCTAGACTCGTGGAATAAGAACTGTAAATAATCCTTTCTCACAAGTGGAAAAGCTTGGATTCTGTCCTTTGTGTCCCATGAAGCACTTAGAGAGGAAGGGTGTGTTGCCTATTAGATCTGACTTACGGAATGAAAAACAGCTTTGAAATCTCATGATTTTCCAGCTAAGAGAGAAGCAAACCTCTGGAAGAGGACCCTTCCTGCACTAACATGCCGTTTTCCAAATATGAATAGTTTTGGGGATCAGGAAGAGTTCAAGCTGGGAAAAATCACTTGGGGTACTTTTTGTAACAAGGAAAGGGAATTCAGTGTAGGTCAGATGAGCAATTCAAAGGGGTCTGTTTGGGATGCCATAATAATACCACAGACTGGGTGGCTGAAACAACAGAAATGTATTTCTCACAATTCTGGAGGTTAGAAGTCCAGGGTCAAGGTGCTAGCAAAATAGTTTCATTCTGAGGCCTTTTCTTGTGGCTTGGCTGAAACAACAGAAATGTATTTCTCACAATTCTGGAGGTTAGAAGTCCAGGGTCAAGGTGCTAGCAAAATAGCTTCATTCTGAGGCCTTTTCTCTTGGCTGGTAGGCAGCTGCCATCTTGCCATGTGCTCACATAGTGGAGAGAGAGTGTGCTCTAGTGTCTCTTATAAGGACACTAATCCTATTGGATCATGGCCCCACACTTAACGACCTCATTTAACCTTAGTTACTTTCTTAGAGGCCCCATCTCCAAATACAGCCATGGTGGGGATTAAGGCTTCAACATGTGAATTTCAGGGGGAATTTCCATTCAGTCTGTAAAAGGGCCTCAGGAAGTGGCTTCACCTAGGATCTGATCTTTGGCTCTAGGGGATCAGAAATGTGACTTTGTTTCTCCTGCACAAACTCATGGACCTGACATAGGGGAAGTCCAGTTATGAGAACCTGATATTGTGTATGGCATACTGCCAATTTATTAATTTACATAGTGGGCCTACCCACCATTAAGTTGTGTTTCTGCTATTCCTTTTTTTTTTTTTTTTTTTTTTTTTGAGAGAAGGTCTCACCCTGTTGCCTAGGCTGTAGTGCAGTGGTGTCATCTTGGCTCACTGCAACCTCTGCCTCCCGAGCTCGAGTGATCCTCCCACGTCAGCCTCCTGAGTAGCTGGAACCACAGGCGTGCGCCACCATGCCCGGCTAATTTTTGTATTTTTTATAGAGACAGTGTCTCACCATGTTGCCCAGCCCACTGGTTTTGAACTCCTGGGCTCAAGCGATCCGCCTGCCTCAGCCTCCCGAAATGCTAGGATTACAGACGTGAGCCACTATGCCTAGCCCATTTCTGCTATTCAAAACACTTCATTATGGTGCCAGCACCCTGTATTAGTCATCAGAAGGTTTTTCATTAAGTGTGGAACCAGAGTGAAGGGAGGGGGGTGGTTCTGGACAGTTCTAGGAGAATCTTGATGGACTGTGCCTGCCCTACACAGAGGACACCTGTCCAGTTGGTTCATTTTGACATCAGTTGTGTTCAGGCCCCAGAAGTGTTAGACCTGCCCTGTTGGTCTCATGTCCTGATGGTGACCATCAGAGATATGATTATGTTCCCCAAGACTCACCCCAGGTGTCCTGATGGACTTGTCTTCTCAGGGTGGGACATTCCTATGCACATCTGCTTGCTCCTCTGTGAAGGTGCCAACCTCCTTTCTGCCTCAGGGCCTTTATGCAATGGCTCTTCCCTCTTGGGGGAGAGGTCTTCCAAGATTGTGTTACATCTGCAGTGATACTTTCTCTTTCTTTTACTTGTTTATTATCTAAGTCTCACCTCTTCTTTCTTGCATGAAAACTCTGTGAGGGTTGGTTATCTCCCAGGTGCCTGGAATAGTGCTTGCACTCAGTAACGTGGGCTCTCAGTAATAACTTGTTGAATGAGTAAATGAATGAGTGAATGATTGGTTGATCCATCCACTTATGTTTCAGTTTGCAGTTTTTCCTTAGTATTATTTAGCCGTGTACTGATTATACTATTTTCTGTGCAAATGAGATATGGTAGATTTTAGTAATTTGTCGAAGAGATGCCAGTACTATTGAAAGTACAATCACCAAATTGCAATGTTGACAGGAAAACCCTCTGTTACTTACTTCCAGAAGTTAGGTTATTCTTTCAGCAATTCCAATTGCTAGAAGCTCCTCAGTATATTGAGCCCAGATCCATCCTGCTGACTTCAGTCCACTGAGCCATAAAAGCAGCTCTAATTCTTCTTCGACTTGTTAGTTGTGTCCTCCAAGTCCTCTGTTGACTGTTATGCAATGTGCTGTTTTTTTTTTTTTTTTTTTTGAGATGGAGTTTTGCTCTTGTTGCCCAGGCGGAGTGCAGTGGCTCAATCTTGGCTCACTGCAACCTCCACCTCCCGGGTTCAAGCGATTCTCCTTCCTCAGCCTCCCGAGTAGCTGGGATTACAGGCACGTGCCCCAACACCCAGCTAATTTTTGTATTTTTAGTAGAGATGGGGTTTCACCACGTTGGTCAGGCTGGTCTCGAACTCCTGACCTCAGGTGATCTGCCCGCCTCGGCCTCCCAAAGTACTGAGATTACAGGCGTGAGCCACCACACCCCACCCGATAATGGGGTTTTTTGGTGACTTCACCATCTTGGTCATTTTGATGGGACGTGTTGCTGTGGTTGTTCAGTGCCTGCAGGTGGTTCAGACCTGAATATACAACTCCTGAGGTGGACTGGAGCGTGGAGCAGAATGGGCCTCTGCCAAACCCCCATCCTGTCTCTTCCCACTCTGTTGTTAAACCGCGTGGTCTGATCTAGTATTGGCCTGAGGATTCTTTCTTCAGCAATTTCTTGTCACATTTCTTCTATGTGGCATGCTGAATATTTATGGGGTTTTGTGAAGAATAAAGATGTCTGAAAAATTCCATCAAAACAGGATGTAACAACTTGGGGACAGTACCTTCAAGCCTGCTGTTAATTTAAACACACACACACACAGACACACCCACACACACACTCCCCTTTCGTAGGTAATGAGAATGTCTTGCCACCCAATGTAACAAACACCTCTGAATTTTTTTTTGTTTTTGACAGTTTTTTGTCTCACCTAATCTGGCCACCTTTGTTTTGAGCGTGGTGCCTCCAGTGTCAATCATTGCTGTAATTTATGGGCGATATCTACGGAAACTGACCAAAGTCACTCAGGATTCCCTGGCACAAGCCACTCAGGTAAAGGCCCCTTCCTGTCCGCGTGGTTTCCAGCAGAATGGGGTCATAGCCAGGATCCTAGAGGGCAGATCCTAAGGGATGTACTTAGGTTTTTCAATGAAGTGCCTGCCTTTCCTTTCATTAGAAATTACCCCAAGATCCATGAAACTTAAACTACTCTGTTTTCTAGACTAGATTTCTACCCATATCTCAAAGTAGATCTAACTTCACTAAACATTTTATGGAGTCCTCACTTGTTACTATCACTATTTCTTTTCTTTCTTTTTTTTTTTGTTTTTTTTTTTTGAGACAAGGTACATGAGAAAAGTTTTTTCATGCACTCTAGGCTGGAGCGCAGTGGTACAATCACAGCTTAGTGAAGCTTTAACCTCCCAGGCTCGAGTGATCTCCCACCTCAGCCTCCTTAGTAGCTGGGACTATCGCCCCATGCCACCATGCCCACTAATTTTTAAAATTTTTTGTAGAGACATGATCTTACTGTGTTGCCCAGGCTGGTTTCAAATTCCTGGGCTCAAGTAATCCTCCCACCTTGGCGTCCCGGAGTGCTGGGATTACAGGCATGAACCACCATACCTAGCCACTATCACTATTTGTTATAGGACAAAACAGTTAATCAGGTTTTGAAAATAGTTACTAGATAAGTGTTTCATTAATTTAATAAATCTAGCTTTGCAGTGCTGTGCAACGTTATCTTTTCAAAAATTAAAAATGGCCAGGTGCGGTGGCTCATGCCTATAATCCCAGCACATTGGGAGGCCAAGGCAGGTGGATCACCTGAGGTCAGGAGTTTGAGACCAGCCTGGCCAACATGGTGAAACCTTGTTTCTACTAAAAATAGAAAAATTAGCTGGGCGTGCTGGTTTGTGCCTGTAATCCCAGCTACTTGAGAGGCCGAGACAGGAGAATCGCTTGAACCTGGGAGGTGGAGGTTGCAGTAAGCCGAGATTGCGCCATTGCACTCCAGCCTGGGTGACAAGAGTGAAACTCCGCTCCAGAAAAAAAAGAAAAATAAAAAATAACCATTATACTTGCATGTTACAAAAACCATGCATGTTTATTGTTGAAAAATTTGAAAATATAAAGAGAGAAAACAAAAACACGCATAATCCTGTCTTTTCGAATTAACATTATTAACATTTTGGAGTCTGTCTTTTTCTCTGCATAAAAATGCATTTCTGCATCTACATATACTCCTGTTTTTCTGCCTCTATGTTTTTCTGATATGTTTAGGTATAGATTTTTTTCCCCCACAACTAGGATTGTTTTGTATACTCTGCTTTGTCACTCTTTTTTGACTTAGTCATGTATCAAGAGTGGCTTTCCATTGATAGTGTCTTTTGTGGAGTTCTCACTTCTTACTATCACTATTTCTTTTCTTTTCTTTCTAATGAATAACAAAATGAGAACCACATTTTATTTTTCCTTCTTAGAAGCTCTTGAAATATGACCCTTCTCCTCCTGAAATGTATTTATTATTCTCCCAGCTAGCTGAGGAACGTATTGGAAATGTAAGAACTGTTCGAGCTTTTGGGAAAGAAATGACTGAAATCGAGAAATATGCCAGCAAAGTGGACCATGTAATGCAGTTAGCAAGGAAAGAGGCATTCGCCCGGGCTGGTTTCTTTGGAGCAGTAAGTAGATCACTTTGGAAAAAGTAAAATTGGCAAATGTTAGAATGGTGAGAGTTTTATTCTGTGGTGCTCAGCATAAGTAGAAAATAATTTTAATTTTTAAAATTTTAGTCTTAATTTCAAGGCCAAGAATGACTTTCTTTAAAATATTTTTGTGAAAAAGGAAGAAACAAGTAAATGTCCTTAGAGAAAAGTCAGTGCATGGTGTGATCGGGCACTGATTCTTTGTGCGGTGCAGGCCAGCGGCATCAGCTTTGCCTGAGCACTGGTCTGCCTCACCAAGACTCAGCTCCACCCCAGGTCTGCTGGGTAGGAAACTGGGGCCAGCAATCTGTTTAACAGGCCTTCCAGGTCATTCTGATGCCAGCAAAGTCTAAGGATTAACCAAAATCACCTCAGTGTGTTTCAAGAAACAAGTACAAAAAATCAATCACAATGCACTCAAATAGGACACTGAAATAGAAAATCACCATGAGGGCAAATTCCAGATATGTGTAAACTGAAAAGAACTTCAGAGGCAATTCCGTCATTGCTATGATTAACAGATAAGGAGCAGTGGCCCGGAGAAGGCCTCCCCTATACCTAAGACAACCACACACGTAACCATGGTAAAAGCAGGCCATACATACAGGAGTCCAGCTCCTCAGGCTGGTGTCCTTGCCCAGAACATCTGATTATATTATATAAACCTATACAGTAGATATTTATTTGTTTCCTCTAGTTAGGGAAGGAACCTTTAATATTACTTTTATCTTTTGCAAACTGAGTAGATGGGATAAAATCAGGATCTGATGGGAGACTTAGCTTATAGGTTTTCATGGTGATGAGATTGTTTTCTTCATTATTGCAATATTACAAAACCATTTTTAATTTGAAACTCAGGTGAAATTAATATTTTGGAAAAATCTTGCTGTGACAGTTGAATGAAAAAGGGACATTACAGGCCGTGTTCATGCTTTTCACATTCTGGGTCCTTGATTCCCACCTGACTTCTGTGTTTTCTTCATTCGACAGACTGGGCTCTCCGGAAACCTGATCGTGCTTTCTGTCCTGTACAAAGGAGGGCTGCTGATGGGCAGTGCCCACATGACCGTGGGTGAACTCTCTTCCTTCCTAATGTATGCTTTCTGGGTTGGAATAAGCATTGGAGGTAAATAATTTAAATAGGCTTGGGGTGTTACAAATTAAAAATCAGAGCATCATTTCTGAAAGAGAAACTGAACTTTCACATTACTTCAATTAACTTCCACTGAAAAAGCATTTCCTAGAATGTTATTATTCCAACTGGGCTTTTAAAGAAGTAAAATGAGTGTGACCCTCCCCAGCAGGTGAGCAAACAGCTCCTTGGTTGGGAAGTTTGGGGATCTTTGCAGGCCTCTTATAGCTCAGCATCGCTCTGGAGTGGTTATTTCCCAGCCTGTGTCTTCAGACCATTTGTTCACTTGCTCACAGGTGCAGGCAGGAGGAGGGCGGCGCTGAGCAAGTGTGGACACAGAAACCCATAGTCCTGTGTTAGTCATGGTTTCGTGATTGGCAAATCAGTGGAGAATAAAATTCCTTTTGCACAAAGTCGACCATATTCAAAATTAATGAGCAATCAAAAAATATTTATAAATTATCAAGTGTATGAAACAGAGTTGCCTGCTTTTATTAAGAATCTGTGAGAGTTCAGCTTTTATTTTTCATTCCCGGATAAAGGAAAACAGGAATGCATCCCCAGTCAACTTGGGACAAATGATTTCCTGGTTTTTGTTTCCCTTCTTGTCTTTGAAAATCAAGATGGAAAGGTCAGGTAAGTAGCTTAAGGTCTGATTAATGGAACATTATCAGGTATCCTATGGTGTTGCCTCAACCAGAGAGTTTTATTTTCAGGGTTTTGTATCTGTCTAATTGTTGAAGGTAGAGGCATTTCCGTAGACATCTGCAGGCAAGTGAGGATTTTTTTCTGGAATGAGATTTTCAGAGACCCCTGAAAAAAGCATTTTAGTTCTGCTGGCTGGTCTTAAATAAAAACTGATTTTAAGATGTTTTGGGGTGCTGGCTGGTTTGGGAAACGAGAAGGTGGACCGGTTCAGGAGGACCCACAGACAGTATGTAGCTCTTCCCTCTCCGTTTCCTGGATTGAGCCTGCTGGGCTGGAGGTTTCACACCCTGTTGTGGTCCTGTTCCCCTAGGTCTTCTGTCCTCCTTCAAGTGGACTACCTACCCTACTTCCCCTCTCCCTGGCCTTTCTGTTCACGTTCCAGGTTTCCTCCCTGGCCTCCCCTCATCTTAATGTTTTCTGCCATGCTAGACATGATCTTTCTCAGCCCCTCCTCTTCCCTCCTCTGAATCATTTGGCATGATAGACGTTATTTCTGTTTGTGGTTGTTCTATTGCCCTCTCTGTTCACAACGGACAAATTCACAACTGTGCCTTCCACAGAATGGGTTGGAAAACACAGTTCTAATCCATTGCTATAGTCAGTTACCACCACTGGTTATGGGAGGTGCTGCTAAGGCTTTGTCTGCGTGCAGAGATTGGGTAATTTGGCTTTCTTAACCACAGGCTAGCCCACAACTCTGGTCAACTGTCTTGTTCAGGATCTGCCATCTGGTGCGAGGAGGGATAAGAGAAAATATGGGTAGGTCAGTGTACATCTGTTGCCACCAGTTCTTCCACATTTATAACATAGATGCCTAAGGTGATAGGAATTTAATCCAACAACTTGAATTAGCAGGTGAGAATTCTACCACTGAACCACCAATGCCCAACAACTTAAATTAGATTTTAAGTGCTTTTATGTTTGTTTGTTTGTTTGTTTGTTTATTTATTTGGAGATGGAGTCTTGCTCTGTCGCCCAAGCTGGAGTGTGGTGGCATGATGTCGGCTCACTGCAACCCCCGCCTCCCGGGTTGAAGCAGTTCTCCTGCCTCAGCCTTCCAAGTAGCTGGGACTACAGGCACGTGCTGCCACACCTGGCTAATTTTTTGGATTTTTTTAATAGAGACGGGGTTTCACCATGTTGCCCAGGCTAGTCTTGAACTCCTGAGCTCAGGCAATCCGCCCGCCTCAGCCTCCCAAATTGCTAGGATTACAGGTGTGAGCCACTGCACCCAGCCATGCTTTTATGTTTTTAAAGTAATTTTATACTTTTATAGAATCGCTGTCTAAAATGATTCTATAATCTACAAAGCAAGAAATTCTATTTTATTTATTAAATAAGAATTTTTATTTTGGTTTCTGCCTAGAAAGACATACTAGGGGTAAAAACCCCAATGATTCTAAGTACATTCTCTGCTAAGATGAAGTCAGAAGTACTGTATGAAGAAAAGCAAAACCTAACCATTTTCAAGTTTACAATTCAGTGGTGTTTAGTACATTCATAATGCTGTGCAACCACTACCTCCATCTAGTTCCCAAACCATTTCATCACCTAAAAGAAAACCAATATTCATTAAGCAGTCTATCTACTTTACTTCCTCCTGCCAGCTCCTGGCAACCAAAGTTTGCTTTCTGTCTCTATGTATTTACCTATTGTAGCTATTTCATATAAAAGGAATCATACAATATATGTCCTCCTGTGCCTGGCTTCTTACACTTAGCATAATATTTTCAAAGTTCATCTATATTGTAGCAGGTATCAGTACTTCATTCCTTTTTTTTTTTTTCTTTTCTTTTTTCCTGAGACAGGGGCTTGCTCTGTCACCCAGGCTGGAGTGCAGTAGGGCAGCCTTGACCTCCTGGGCTCAAGCAGTCCTCTCACCTCAGCCCCCTGAGTAGCTGAGACTTACAGGCATGCGCCACCATGCCTGGCTAGTTTTTGTAGTTTTTGTAGAGACAGAGTTTCGACATGTTTCCCAGGCTGGTCTTGAACTTCTGGGCTCAAGCAATCTGCCTGCCTCTGCTTCCCAGAGTGCTGGGATGACAGGCATGAGCCACCGCAACTGGGCTAGTATGTCATTCCTTTTTATGGTTGAATAATATTTCATTATAGCGAGAGATTGCATTTTATTTTTCCAGGGCCATTGTGCTTTTGTTGTTCAGAGTCAAAGCTCTTAACTATGTTAAACTACTTTTGACTCTTTACCTTTACTTCTTTTTTGTTTTGTTTTGTTTTAGAGACAGGGTCTTACTCTGTCTCCAGGCAGGAGTGCAGTAGCACAATCCTAGCTCACTGCAGCCTCGACCTCCTGGGCTCAAGTGATCCTTCCGCCTCAGCCTCCTGAGTAGCTAGGACTGCAGGCATACACAACCATATTCAGGTAATTATTTTTATTTTTTGGAGAGACAGGGTCTTGCTATGTTGTGTTGCCCAGGCTGGTCTCAAACTCCTGGGCTCAAGTGATCCTCCTGCCTCGGCCTCCCAAAGTGCTGGGATTATAGGTGTGCACCACCATGCCCAGCCTTACTTTTTTTTTCTTCTTTCTTTTTTCCCTCACTCCCTTCTTTTTAAAAATTAATACCATTTTCAAAGTAGTTTTACGTTCATAGCAAAATTGTGTGGAGATAGGGGTGTATACCCCTGCCCCCATACATGCACAGCCTCCCTATTAACATCCCCCGCAGAGTGGTACATTTGATGCAATTAATGAACCTACAGCTGGGCGCAGTGGCTCACTCCTGTAATCCCAGCACTTTGCGAGGCTGAGGCGGGCAGATCACTTGAGACCAGGAGTTCGAGACCAGCCTGGCCAACATGGCAAAACCCTGTCTCTACTAAAAATACAAAAATTAGCTGGGTGTGCTGGTTCATGCCCGTAATCCCAGCTACTCGGGAGACTGAGACAGGAGAATTGCTTGAACCTGGGAGGTGGAGGTTGCAGCGAGCTGGGATTGTGCCACTGCACTCCAGCCTGGGTGACAGAGTGAGACTCTGTCTCAAAAAAAAAAAAAAGAGCCTACATTGACACAGCATTACACCCAAAGTCCACAGTTTACATTAGGGTTCACTCTTGGTGTTGTACATTCTATGGGTTTGGACAAATGCAAAATGACATGTATCCAACATTCCTGTATCATACAGAGTAGTTTTACTGCCTCAAAGATCCTCTGAGCTCTGCTTATTCATCACCCTTCTGCAACCTACTGTTTCCATGGTTATGCCTTTTCTAGAATGTCATATATTTGTAATCTTGCAGTATGTAGCATTTGATTGGCTCTTTTCACAGAAATATGCATTTAAGGTTTCTCCATGTCTTTTTATGGCTTGATAGCTCATTTATTTTTAGCACTGAATAATATTCCATTGTGTGGATGTACAACAGTTTATTCATTCACCTACTAAAGGGCACTTGGCTGCTTCTAAGTTTTGGCAATGATGAATAAAGCTGCTATAAACATCCATGTGTAGGTTTTTGTGTAGATAGGAGTTTTCAGCTCATTTAGGTAAATACCAAGGAGTATAACCGCTTGATTGGATGGTAAGAATATGTTTAGCTTAGCACAGTGGCAGTATCATAGGCAGTGAGGTTTATCCGAGGCGTGATTATTGCCAATTGAAAACTTTTCTCGATACCCTTCTGTGATGACTTGCAATGTAGTCAGCATTGGCAAGGTTTTTTTTTTTTTTTTTTTTTTTTTTTTTTAAAGGGAGTCTCATTCTGTTGCCCAGGCTGGAGTGCAGTGGCATCATCTCAGCTCACTGCAACCTCCACCTCCCGGGCTCAAGCAATTCTTGTGCCTCAGCCTCCCAAAGAGCTGGGATTACAGGCATCCGCCACCATGCTTGGCCTTTTTTTTTTTTTTTTTTTTTGAGATGGAGTCTTGCTCTGTCACCCAGGCTGGAGTGCAGTGGCGCGGTCTTGGCTCACTGCAACCTCCACCCCCCCAGGTTCAAGCGATTCTCCAGCCTCAGCCTCCCGAGTAGCTGGGACTACGGGTGCGTGCCACTGCGTCCAGCTATTTTTTTTGTATTTTTAGTAGAGACGGGGTTTCACCATGTTGGCCAGGCTGATCTTGAACTCCTGACCTCAGGTGATCCACCTGCCTCGGCCTCCCAAAGTCCTGGGATTACAGGCATGAGCCATCCACGCCTGGCCTAATTTTTGTATTTTTTTTTTTAGTAGAGACAGGGTTTCACCCTGTTGGCCAGGCTGGTCTTGAACTCCTGGCCTCAAGTGATCTGCCCACCTTGGCCTCCCAAAGTGCTGGGATTACAGGTGTGAGCCACCGCACCCGGCCAGCATTGGCAATTTTTGACATCTCTATGGTGACCGAATGAATTTTTTTCTTACAAAAAAAATTTTAGTTTTGTAAGAAACTCCCAAACTGCCTTCCAAAATGTGTGTCCCATTTGCATCCCCACTAGCAAGGAATGAGAGTTCTTGTTGCTCCACATCCACCCCAGCATTTAGTGGCGTCAGTGTTCTAGCTTTTAGCCATTCTGATAGATGCATGGTATTTCATTGTTGTTTTAGTTGGCATTTCCCTGATGACATATGATGTTGAGCGTCTGTTCATATGCTTATTTGCTCTCTGTATATTTTCTCTGGTGAGTTGTCTGTTCAGGACTTTTGACCATTTTTAAGTAAGTCTTCATGTTTCCGTATTGTTGAGTTTTAAGAGTTCTTCGTATATTTTGGGTAGCAATCCTTTATTGGATAGGTCTTTTACAGATATTTTCTTCCAGTTTGTGGCTGGTCCTCTTCTTTTCACATTGTCTTTTGCAAAGCATACATTTTTAATTTTAATGAAGTCCAGCTTCTTTCTTTCATGGATTGTACCTTTGGTATTGTATCTAAAAAGTCATCACCAAATTCAAGGTCATCTACACTTGCTCCTAGGTTGCCTTCTAGGAGTTTATTGTTTTGTGTTTTACATTAGGTCTGTAATTCACTCTACATTAGTTTTTGGGAAAGGTGTAAGGTCTGTGTCTAGATTCCTTCTTTGCATGTGGATATTCAGTTGTTCTAGAACCATTTGTTAAAAAGATAATATGTATATTGCCGTTGCATCTCCATTGTATTGCGTTTGCTTCTGTGTCAAAAATCAGTTGACTGTTTATGGGGGTCTATTTTTGCCAAATGCATTTTTAATTCAGCCTAAAAATTTTAGTCCATTGTATCTTGCATAAATATTCATACTGTAGAATATTTGAATTGTATTTTTTCAGCATCCTCACTGAGGGAAAATGTTACAAATGTATGTCCTCACATTTGATGTAGACCATTGCATTTGGGGTTTAAGTTGTTAAATGGTTCAGGCTAGGCATGGTGGCTTACACCTATAATCCCAGCACTTTGGGAGGCTGAGGTGGGTACATCACTTGAGGTTGGGAGTTGGAGACCAGCCTGGCCAACATGGTGAAACCCCATCTCTACTAAAAATACAAAGATTAGCCAGGCATGGTGGGGGGCACCTGTAATCCCAGCTACTCGGGAGGCTGAGGCAGGGAGAATTGCTTGAACCTGGGAGGCAGAGGTTCAGTGATAGATACTACACCACAGCAGAGCAAGACTCCGTCTCAAAAAAAAATAATAATAATGGTTCAAAGCTGACTTTAAAAAGGGATGGCTAGAGACCAGGGACGGTGACACACACTTGTAATTCCAGCACTTTGGGAGGCCAAGGCAGGAGGATTGCTTGAGCCCAGGAGTTTAAGACCAGTCTAGGGAACATAGTGAGACCCTGTCTCCACAAAAAAATAAAAATAAAGAGATTGCTGGAATGTTTAACATTAACCAAATTTATTTCAGTTTTTACTACTGTGAAAGTTTTGTTGTTGTTGTTTTTTGTTTTGAGACAGGGTCTCGCTCTGTTGCTCTGAGTGCTGCCAGAGTGCAGTGGTGCAGTAATACCTCATTGCAGCCTTAACCTCTTGGACTCAAGCAATCCTCCTGCCTCAGCCTCCCAAGTAATTAGGAATATAGGCACATGCTACCAGGCCTGGCCTTACAGTTATTTTTTGTAGAAACAGGGTTCTCTCTATGTTGCCCAGGCTGATGTTGAACTCCTGGGCTCTAGCAATCCTCCCACCTTGGCCTCCCAAAGTGTTGAGATTACAGCCATGAACCATTTTGCCTGGCCCTTTTTTTTTTTTTAAACATAGCATTACATTGTATGAGGTATTATAAGTAATCTAGAGATTACTTGAAGTATATGGGAGTATGTGAGTAGCGTATCAAAGTTGTATTTATTGAGTGGCTGAAGGTGAGGTATTATTTTGTGGATTTGTCTTTAAAATCAACATTGAAGTATTTTATATTTTTTTAAATTATGAGATAGCATTACATTTCAGTTAAATTACAATGCTTTTAACTAGGTAGATTTCCTCTGCGGCATTATGATTTTAATCCAGTGGTTGATGAGTATGACTATATATGTTTTTCAATCCCTGATCAAACATTAAGTCCTTATTAGAAATCAGTGAAATGTGGCCAGGTGCAGTGGCCCATGCCTATAATCCCACACTTTGGGAGGCTGAGGCGGGTGGATCACCTAAGGTCAGGAGTTTGAGAGCAGCCTTGCCAACATGCGAAACCCCATCTCTACTAAAAATAAAAAAATTAGCCAGGCCTGGTGGCTTGCGCCTGTAATCCCAGCTACTCGGGAGGCTAAGGCAGGAGAATCACTTGAACTGGGGAGATGGAGATTGCAGTGAGCTGAGATTGTGCCAGTGCACTCCAGCCTGGGTGACAGAGTGATGATCTGTCTCAAAAAAAAAAAAAAAAAAAAAAACTATGAAACTGGAGGAGGAGAAGCCAAAGGAAAACTAGAGTATGAGACAAGCAATTCTGAGTATCAGTTCCCAGGAAGCTGCCTCAAGTTGTTTTTTGAAAATATTAATAACAGATTTTATATTAAAAGCAATCATTGTCACTCCTCTCAGAGGAGTGGTGGCCAGTGCCAGTGCCAGTGATGGACATGTGTGTGGATTCTGCTTCTCATCCTCAGGTCTGAGCTCTTTCTACTCGGAGCTGATGAAAGGACTGGGTGCAGGGGGGCGCCTCTGGGAGCTCCTGGAGAGAGAGCCCAAGCTGCCTTTTAACGGTGGGTCTGAAAATTGTTTCTTTGCTAGGATTAACAAATGTGGCTTTGAACAATGAGACCAGCTCTTCCCCTGTCTGCAAGGGAGTGAGGGATGAGCCACAGTAAGGATGTGGCTCCTGCTGCATGGCGGGCCGGGTGAGGAGGTGGTCAGGTTTTCTATGAGAGGGGGTGGGACAGCTGCTGGGGCACTGTTGTGGGCCAGGGTGTCCCTGGATGCATGGGCTGGCCACATAGTGTGCTGCCCTCTGTTCCCCTCCCTCCATCTGGGTGTTACCGCAAAGGGCAGGATGGAAGTCAGTGTGGCCCAGGGCTGTGTCCCAGCTAGTTTACCAAATTGATCTTCCCTAGTGATTCTGACATCTCTGTGGAGGGCTAGGGTGGGAATAAGGGAGGAGGAATCAGACATAAGAAAATATCTAAGTTTCTTGGCATTTTGGTGTGGGGTAGGGGAGGCTGGTACTCATTGGCTGGAGCCATCTCCTTCCTTATCAGTGACTTCCCTGGAGCTGTAGGGCCTAAACCAACTAGCCAGGAATCAGGAGAAATGGCTATGAGTAGTAACCACTCCCAGCTGCTTATTGACTTCCTAGGACATTGTCAGGTAGCCCCAGGTCCATAAATGAAAGCCCAATATTCTCCAATGTGATAGGCCTAGGAAATAGGTCCAGCTGAGAGAGTTTCAGTAGTGTCTCCCAAAGCACAGTAGGTGAACACCAGGGCAGAACAGACCTCTGACCCCTCCAGTTCTGCGGCTGCTGTGCAGCGCTCCCCGTTTCATCATAACTCTTCCAAAATATTTATTCCGGGTAGGTAAGATAAACTCTGGAGCTACACAGAGGCAGTGGCATAGAGAGAAGGCCATCGGATTTGAAACCAGACTAACAAGGGTGGATCTTAACTCCACTACTTGTTAGCTTAAGCAGGTTGTTGTCTGTGGTCTTCAATGTCCTCATCAGCAAAATTGGAATTATAATTTCTACCTCTCAGGGTTGTAAGGATCAAGTAAGACCGTCTACGTATATAGTACCTTGGACATAGTAGGTGCAGAGTTGGCACGTGGTAAGCATTTAGCCTAGGTTTGCTTCTGACTTGCCCTTTAAGAGCTCATATACCAGGATTAGCTGTGGTGGAGTCACCCATCCATAGCCAGATGAGTAGGAGAACCGAGTTCAGCTTTTGAGTTTAATTTTTTGCTGTAAGTAATTAATATTCCATTTTATGTTTCAGAGGGGGTCATCTTAAATGAGAAAAGCTTCCAGGGTGCTTTGGAGTTTAAGAACGTGCATTTTGCCTATCCAGCTCGCCCAGAGGTGCCCATATTTCAGGATTTCAGCCTTTCCATTCCGTCAGGATCTGTCACGGCACTGGTTGGCCCAAGTGGTTCTGGCAAATCAACAGTGCTTTCACTCCTGCTGAGGTTGTACGACCCTGCTTCTGGTAAGCAGTTCACCACACTGTAGCACCGAGGGACTCTCCCGAGCTCTGCTCCCACTTTTGCGCCCTAGGAGATGCTCAAACCATGCAAATACCTTATTTTGTAGAGTACCTTCTTTTCTAAGTGCCAGTGGAAAGAAATCCCTCAAACAGAAGGTGTCATTTGCAGGGGCATGACAGCTCATACAGAGGCCTTTAGAGCTTTTTGTGTGTAATGTGTCCTACCTCTTCAAGCCCAGAGTGACTTCCCCAGATCTACCTCCTCATCTCCCATGCGGGTATCTCCTCTGGACATGCCCTCTACTGGGAGCAGGTGGACGAGGCTGTGCTCAGCAGCCAGGACAGAGTGCCTGGGGTGCTCCAGCAGCACCCTGGAGAACCACCGTGTGCCAGTGCGCGTGCTGGGCGCAGGAGTGATAGGGAGCTCCTGGAGAACCTCTGCCTCTGCCTGTGAGCCATTGAATGCTTATTGTGCACACAGTTAACTTGGCCATCAGTGATTCACTTCTTTTTTTTTTTTTTTTTTTTTTTTTTGAGACAGTCTTGCTCTGTCGCCCAGGCTGGAGTGCAGTGGCGCGATCTCAGCTCACTGCAAGCTCTGCCTCCTGGGTTCCCGCCATTCTCCTGCCTCAGCCTCCCGAGTAGCTGGGACTACAGGTGCCTGCCACCACGCCCAGCTAATTTTTTGTATTTTTAATAGAGTTGGGGTTTCACCGTGTTAGCCAGGATGGTCTCGATCTCCTGACCTCGTGATCCACCCGCCTTGGCCTCCCAAAGTGCTGGGATTACAGGTGTGAGCCACCGTGCCTGGCCAGTGATTAACTTCTATGTGACTGTTCCATTGAAACTATTTTGACCTAGTAGGGATTTTCTTTTTTTTTTTTTTTTTTTTTTTTTTTTTTTTTTGAGACGGAGTCTTGCTCTGTTGCCCAGGCTGGAGTGCAGTGGCACGATCTCAGCTCACTGCTGCAAGCTCCGCCTCCCGGGTTCACGCCATTCTCCTGCCTCAGCCTCCCGAGTAGCTGGGACCACAGGCGCCTGCCACCATGCCCGGCTAATTTTTTTTGTATTTTTAGTAGAGATGGGGTTTCACCGTGTTAGCCAGGATGGTCTCGATCTCCTGACCTCGTGATCCACCCTCCTCAGTCCCCCAGAGTGCTGGGATTACAGGCGTGAGCCACCGCGCCCAGCCGGGATTTTCTTAATGGATGATTTTTCTCATTCTAGTTTTTATTTTATTTTTAACTGGATTATAACATCTTTAAGAGCAAAGAGCACATGATTTTACTTCTATCTTCCCTGTAGTAGACAACAATGTCAGCAAGCAAACAACTCTTAGTAAAAATCAAATCATGAATTTAGAAAGAATATTTTGGCCAGATGTGGAGCCCCACACCTGTAATTGCAACACTTTGGGAGGCTGAGGTGGGAGGATCACTTGAGGCCACAAGTTGGAGACCAGCCCGGGTAACATAGTGAGACCCTGTCACTATTTATTAAAAAAAAAAAATTCTGTAATTTAAAAAATGAATGTTTTGTGTCTTTGTGCTTATGCTTTTTGGTTAAAACAATGTGAGAGCTGGTTACATGTCAGATAAATATGTGACTTGCAAATCCTGACCCATGGAATCACCACCTGTGTTAAAATGGGGCTTACTACATTGTTTGTCTCTGGAATCACTTTCTTGATTCACCATTCACTTGCTATAAAATTTGGAGTTTAAAAAAATCCTAGTTAGCTGGGCACAGTAGTTCACACCTGTAATCTCAGCTCTTAGGGAGGCAGAGGTGGGAGGATAGCTTGAGCCCGGGAGTTTGAGACCTGCTTGGGCAATATAGTGAGACCTTGTTCTCCATAAAAAGGAAAAAAAAAAAAGACCAAAAAAAATCCTATTTAGGTTGCTGTAATTCAAGTAAAAATACTGAGTCTCTAGTTTCTTCATCACAATGAATAAATCCAGGACAAAGCAAACTGCAGTTAAATGTCTGCCATGTGTAGTCTATAAAGAGCTTTGTGCTTTTTCGTCAAAGACCTCAAGTTTTTGCCAGTTTGTGAACATTTCCAGCTGGCTTCTATAATTCCACAACATTAACTGAGAAGAAATGGCATTTCTTATGCTGTCACTGTTGTCATCATCACCAAGTTTTGTTGAGCACCCTCAATGTGAAGAATTCTGTTAGCAAAAGTCATAAAGATAGCGTCTGATTATTTAAAAGCTCTGCCATGGTATCGACCAGATTCTTAGTTGCAGACAACAGATTCCTCACCAACTAAGCTTATTACAGAAAGGGATATTTTAAGGAGTAATAAAAGAGCTCAAAAATCACTGGCAGGAATGACAAAATAGATTCTAGATTGTACTTCCAGGACAGTTTGCAGAACTCCACCCCAGAACCAGGCCTTCAAGGTAGCTGCTGACACTGGCATGGTCAGGAAGCTACAAATTTAGGCAGTTGCTGTCATGAATGCCAGCTTCAGAGCTGTGCCACCTCTGCCAGTATTCGTGCCAGCAAGTGGATGCCTCATGGCTTGCCCCTCCCTTCTGAATTAAAGCTTTGCACAAGTGCATCTTATCGGTGGAATCCTAAGTCACTAGGGAGTTTTGGGAAAACTCCCTACAACCTCCGGAGTACAGGAAGGCAAGCTGGACAGATGGACTCGGTGAGATAGTCATCCAGCTACTATCGGGAGACAATAACTTGGACAATCCAGAAAGTCCCTTTTAGCTCTGAAATTTCATGAAATATGTTAGTTTTAGAGTCCATCTGGAGATTTTCAGTACATTTTGATCTTTAAAAAATGAGTCTGGAATTTTCCCACCGGATCCTTTCTGTGTTGGTCATCAGCCTCATCACACTCAGTGACTCTTTCCTTTCCTTTCCTCTCAACAAGGAACTATTAGTCTTGATGGCCATGACATCCGTCAGCTAAACCCAGTGTGGCTGAGATCCAAAATTGGGACAGTGAGTCAGGTAAGAAGAGAGGCTTCCATTTCTATTTCACTTTCTTTTAAAATTACTTTTGTCTTTTGCTTTTTTTTTTTTTTGTCTCGAACTTCTCAAGAGAGAAGGAATGGAAGTCTTTGGGATGTATTAAGCTCATCTCACATGGCAGGTTGTTTAGGTTTGCAAGTAGCGCTGTTTCCTGAAAACCCTAAATGTTTGAGCAAGGGTGAAGCATTGACTTTTTATTGAAAGCTGGAGACTACCATTACTAGATAGTCTAGAGGATGGGGAGGAAATGATAGAAGATTTTATTGACTCTTTTTTAGCTTTTACTGATTCTTCCCCACTTCCCATTTTCATCACCAGCCACAGTCTACTATTCTGCATAATGAGTTTCAGGGAAAAGTGAGCAAAGACTATGGCAAGAGCCAGAGTCCTCCTTGCAAAGAAGTTGCAGATTTCAAAGCAGAGTGTTAATGTAATGTGGTCACTTTGATAAGGCCATTTTCACAAGACCCTTTGGGGCAGGGAAATGTTGCTGCAGCTGTTTTAATTTTTATTACCAGGCTGTGCACACAGCATACAAACCTGAGCCTCCCCCCATTTCTGAACCTCTCTTTGTGATTAGCTCATCCTCTCCCCACTCCACTTGGGTGAGGGCAGGTGGATGGTGATGGGTGCTCAGGAGTGTAGGGACATCAGTGGTGTATATGATTAGGGATGGAGAAAAGAGCCTGGAAGTTTGCTTATTTTTTAGGACTACTCCATAGGGTTCTGTCAGAATTGTTTGTTCCCATGTGGTTTGTGTGTATTTCAAAAAGTAATGGATGGAGATGGATTCCCCGCTTTGTCCTGAGTGGAAGGCAGGCAGCTGGAAAATGCAGGTGGACTTGGGGTCTCCTGGTGCCTCCTGATTCCTAAGGCAGGGGACTGACATTTACAAAGTTCCTACCATGTGCCAGGTGCCTTGCGGGCACCTGCTGTGAGGTCTCATTGCTTGCAGCATGGTGAGAACTACAGATGATAAAATCCTGTTCATGGCAAAACATAAATTTTAAAAAAGACTGCTAGGTCTAAATTTATTAGACATGTTTTAAGTCTGTTTGAAATTCGTGATATGTTTTATTTCCAATTTGTAGGAACCCATTTTGTTTTCTTGCTCTATTGCTGAGAACATTGCTTATGGTGCTGATGACCCTTCCTCTGTGACCGCTGAGGAAATCCAGAGAGTGGCTGAAGTGGCCAATGCAGTGGCCTTCATCCGGAATTTCCCCCAAGGGTTCAACACTGTGGTTGGAGAAAAGGGTGTTCTCCTCTCAGGTGCATTTCTTTACTGCTTTGTAGCAAAGTCTCTATATCCAAAGAACTTTTCACATGTTTCTTGTTTTTTTTGTTTGTTTGTTTTGTTTTTGAGACGGAGTCTTGAGTCTTGCTCTGTCACCCAGGCTGGAGTGCAGTGGCAGTGGCGCAATCTCGGCTCTCTGCAAGCTCCTCCTCCTGGGTTCATGCCATTCTCCTGCCTCAGCCTCCCGAGTAGCTGGGACCACAGGTGCCTGCCACCACGTCCAGCTAATTTTTTAGTAGAGACAGGGTTTCACCGTGTTAGCCAGGATAGTCTTGATCTCCTGACCTCGTGATCCGCCCACCTTGGCCTCGCAAAGTGCTGGGATTACAGGCGTGAGCCACCGTGCCCAGCCCACATGTTTCTATATTGCAGTATTATTTTCTAATTAGGTTTTCATCTTTAGAGTTTTTGAAATTAGCCTTACCACTTGCTCTCTTATATGTGGAAAATTCCCCAGTGTTTTCTTTCACTTTCTACCCCATATGTGTTCCAAAAATTCTGAGTAGTACTCAGCCACAGCAAGCTTTTTTTCATCTGAAAAACAACAACAACAACAACAACAACAAATGTGCTTTGCAACCTGAGACCCTCAAAAATTAAAGAAAATAAGAAGTGGCAGGATGATTTGCCCAGGGAGTCAGGGAATGTGCATCAGGAACAAAGCTGAAATTGAAAGAATTATTTACTCCCTACATACTAGACCAGGGTTTGACAAACTTTTCTTTAAAGAGCCAGACAGTAAATATTGTGGGTTTTGGCCAGGCACGGTGGCTCACACCTGTAATCCCAGCACTTTGGGAGGCCGAGGCAGGTGGATCACTTGAGATCAGGAGTTCAAGACTAGCCTGGTGAACATGGTGAAACCCTGTCTCTACTAAAGATACAAAAAGTTAGCTGGGCGTGGTGGTGGGCACCTGTAATCCCAGCTACTCGGGAGGCTGAGGCATGAGAATTGCTTGAACTCAGGAGGCGGAGGTTGCAGTGAGCCAAGATTGTGCCATTGCACTCCAGCCTGGGAGACAGAATGAGACTCTGTCCCAAAAAAAAAAAAATTGTGGGTTTTATGGGTCACATATGATGGCTGTCACACATCCTTCTTTGTGTGTGTGTGCTTTTAAGCAACTTTAAAAATGTAAAACACATTCTTAGCTTGAGGGCCGTGCATAGACATGCCATGGTTCAGGTCTGGCCTGTGGGCCATAATTTGCTGAATAGACTCACGGCTGTGAGGCAAAGTGAGCGATTCCCTGTGGTGTCAGACCACACCTATCATTCTGGATCACATTATGGTTGCCATATTTTGAGGAGAGAGAAGACTCAGTTTGTATTTCTTTAAAGTGCAGAAATGAACCAATGAGTAGAACTTTAAGAGAAATAAATGTTCAGCTAAACACTTTTTTTTTTCAATACAAATATTGAAATGTTTCCTTGCAAGATAACAAGTTCCTGGCCGGGCATGGTGGCTCATGCCTGTAGTCCTAGCACTCTGGGAGGCCAAGACAGGCTGATTGCTTGAGCTCAGTAGTTCGAGACCAGCCTGGGCAACATGGTGAGACCCCCTCTCTACCAAAAATACAAAACAATAGCCAGGTGTGGTGGTGAGCACTTATGGTCCCAGCTACTCGGGAGGCTGAGGTAGGAGTACTGCTTGAGCCCAGCGAGGCAGAGGTTGCAGTGAGCTGGGATCGCACCACTGCACTCCACCCTTAATGACAGAGTGAGTGAGCCTCTGTCTTAAAAAAAAAAACAAAAAACTTGTCTCTGTTTGAGCAGAGGGTGGTTGCCTCTTTGTGACAGTGAAGGCTGGCAGATTAGACTAAAACAACAGTCTTTTCCTATGCTAAACTTTTCATTTGAAGTTAGACCACAGAAAATATAAAACAAAAGGGTTTTAAGCTTATTGTATATGATTTAAAATATATATATATATATAAGCAGTAGATGAAAAGGCGTCTTTGATAGATCTGAGATGTTCCAGGAGTAGAATTCCTGACTGCTGTGTGAAAGTGAACTGCTACTCCATCTCTGAAACATATCTGAGAAACGGGGCAGAAAACCAGTGTAAACTGCTCGTGGTGAAATTATTGAACATTGAAGTGTGAGGCTTGTCCTAAGAGCACGTCACCTCCCTTGACACAGATTCTGCATGTCCTTCCCTCTGGTAGGATCCTCCAGTTCCGTTTCTCAGCGAAGTAACCAGAGGTTCCAGTCTGCTCTTGCTTTCTGGGAGGAAGACAGAGCACCTAGTAATAGATTCCCAGGGTACTGATTGGCACCACACATGACTCAGAGGGGACCTAAGCCATCAGCAGGCTGCTCTAAGGACCTACCTCAGGGCACTCAGACAGCCTCACCAATCAGAGGCTCAGGAGAGGGTTTTCCTCACTGCCCTCCTTGTGTGCACTGGTTTCCTGTTTAGAGCAGCATTTAGCAGCACCACACACCTCAGATGTAGAGGATGAACCTCTCTTATATGAAATAAAATGATGTCCAGCAACTACTGTTGATAAGTATGTTCAGCCAATAAAATCAAAAAGGAATGTTTTTTATCCCCAAAAATGGAATTGGGTTTTATAAACAATGTAAGTTGGGAGGAGTGAGCACTCTGAGACTTTCCAAGTATGACTTAGGAGTAGCGTTCCTGGAGGAAAGGAGGGAGGATGGGGTGAGACAAAGATAGGGAGGGAATCAACACAGATCCTGCTGACTCCACTCCATCCCACCTTCTCCCACACCTACTTCCAGTTTGTTCCCTCACTTTTAGTAGAATTTGAGCTTAAAAAGACAGGATTAGAGTGACTTACTGTAATTTTCAGTGTCATACATACACACATATTACTATTTTTTCCTCTAGAGGAGGGGAAAAAAAGAACATCATAAAGAATAAGTGCTATGTTAGCCGGGCATGGTGGCACTGCCTGTAGTCCCAGGTACTGGGGAGGCTGAGGCAGGAGAATCACTTGAGCCCAGGAGCGAGAGGTTGCAGTGAGCCATGATTGCACTACTGTACTCCACCTGGAAGACAGAGCAAGACTCTTGTCTCAAAAAAAATAAAAAAAGAATTGCTATAATGTGGGAATATTAGAATTATCAGTCTCAGCACCACTGATGTCCTTTGCTCCCAGACATTTCAAGTGTTCTTTGGAAACTGCAAATATCTTGAGTTTCTGGTTTCCTTGCTACATTGGATATTCTGCTAGGGAGGAAATATGTGTAGTGATGAACAGCATAGATCTTTACATGCTTTTAAGAGCATACCCCTTGCACTGTGTAGGTTCAGATCTCAGTTCCACTACTTACCAACTATGAGATCCTGGACATGCTACTTTGTATCTCAGTTTATCATCTGTAAAATGGGAATAATTATAGGGTCTGTCTCATAGGATTTTTAAAAAGATTAGTCAGGCACAGTGGCTCACACAGTGGCTCCCAATCTCAGCACTTTGGGAGACCAAGGCAGGAGGATCTCTTGAGTCCAGGAGTTTGACACCAGCCTGGGCAACAGAGCAAGACCATGTCTCCAAAAAATTTTAAAAATTAGCCAGGTTTGGTGGTATGGGCCTGTGGTCCCAGCTACTCAGGAGGCTGAGGCAGGAGGATCACTTGAGTCCAGGAGGTTGAAGCTGCAATGAGCCGTGTTCATGCCATTGCACTCCAGCTGGGTGACAGAGCAAGACCTTGTTTGAAATTATTTAAAATAAAAACATTAAATGAGATAATACATGCAGTGCATATAGAAAATGCCTGGTATTGGCCGGGCACTGTGGCTCCCGCCTATAATCCCAGCACTTTGGGAGGCTGAGGTGGGCGGATTGCTTGAGCCCAGGAGCTTGAGACCAGCCTGGGCAACATGGCAAAACCCCATCTTTACCAAAAATTAGCCAGGTGTGTTGGTGCACACCTGTAGTCTCAGCTACTTGGGAGGCTGAGGTGGGAGGATCACTTGAGCCCAGGAGATTGAGGCTGCAATGAGCCGTGATCATGCCACTGCACTCCAGCATGGGTGACAGAGTGAGGCCCTGTCTCAAAAACAGAAAGAAAAGAAAATACTTGGTATATAGGAAGTCATCAATACATTTTGGCTATGATAATAATTATTAATTTTGGGATTGATATATTTTAAACCTATATTTTAAAATAGGTTTCTGGTCTATCTGTGTCAGCTATGACTAACTAGAAGAAGCTTGCCTTCAAATTGCTATATGGTTTATCATAAAAGCCTATTACTAAGATTTTTTGTTGAGGCCTTCTTTTTTTAAATGTTGTCTTTGTCAGGTGGGCAGAAACAGCGGATTGCGATTGCCCGTGCTCTGCTAAAGGTAAGCCTGAAGCGACTTGGATGTTTTTTAAATTAGGGATTATTTTTATTAGGGACCTTGTAATTTGTAATTTACTATTTGTCTTCTTCCTTTTCCTGTTTTTTGTTTTTTTTTTTTTCTTGGAGTGGGAGGGTGACAGTTCTGGTGAAAGGTAAGTTAGTGTAGTATATTGTCCAAATTTAACAAGTATTTCTTAGGTATCATGAGCTCAGTACTGTGCTAAGGTTGTTGGAGGTAGAAGAATTTAACACATGGACCCTCCATCAAGAAGCATACAGTCTAGCCAGTGAAACAGTGATTATTAATGCAAAATATAAAACAGCGTAAGTATGCATATTTGTACAATCTGTAATCAGCTGCTAAAGTGAATAGTACAGACTTGAAGTACTTAGACAAGATTCCTAGAAGGAAAGGGAAGAGCCATTTTAGCTGAAAGGCGGGCATTCTCTTTTTAAGGAAGCAATAGCCTTCCCTTTGTTATACAACTGTTCTTCTCAGGCTTATAGGTGATTAAAAAAAAAAAGCAGCTTTACTGAAGCAGAATTTACATATATAAAATTCATTTATTTTAAATGTACTTTCCAGTGACTTTTAGTAAATTTGCGGAGTTGGTTGCACACAAAGTCCAGTTTCAGAACATTTCTGTCACCCTAAAAAGATCTCTTGTGCCCACTTGCAGTCAGTCGTTCCTTGTTTCCGGCCCCAGGATGCCACGAATCTACTTTCTGTCTGTCTAGATTTGCTTTTCCAGACATTTCAGATAAATGGAATCAGACGATATATGGTTTTTGGCATCTAGCTTCTTTCACTTAGTACAGGTGGAGTGTTTTTGAGATTTCTCCAATTTGTAGTTTGTATCAGTACTTTATTCCCTTCTACTGTTAAGTAGTATGGATGGATCCCTATTTGTTGATCTGTTCACCAGCTGATAAACGCTTGGGTCATTTCCAGTTTGGGGCTATTGTGAATAATATATAAAGAATAGTAGCTACCTTTTTGTGAGGGTGTGTGTTTTCATTTGCAAAGCTGGACTTGTAATGTTTTATCTACATCAGATTAGTCTCTTTTTTTTTTTTTTGGTCTCATGTGTTAGCTTTTCTTTTTTCTTTTTTTCTTTTTTTTGAGACAGAGTCTCGCTGTATCACCCAGGCTGGAGTGCAGTGGTCGATCTCAGCGCATTGCAAACTCTGCCTCCCAGGTTGCAAGTGATACTCATGCCTCAGCCTCCCAAGTAGCTGGGATCACAGATGCACGCCACCACACCCGGCTGATTTTTGTATTTTTAGTAGAGGTGGGGTTTCACCATGTTCGCCAGGCTGGTCTTGAACTCCTGACCTCAAGTGATCCACCCACCTTGGCCTCCCAAAGTTAGTTTATTATTTCTAAATTAACTATAAGCAGGACCTTGAAAGTTATAGACATATCTTTTTAATTTTAATTTAATTTTATTTTTAAATTTGTGACGGTCTCATTCTGTCACCCAGGCTGGAGTGCAGTGGTGTGATCATGGCTCACTTGTAGCCTTGACCTCCTGGGCTTCAGTAATCTACCTGTCTCAGCCTCCCAGGGAGCTAGGACTATAGGTGCATACCATACCAAACCCAGCTAATTTAAAAAAAAATTTTTTTGGTAGAGATGGGGTCTTGCTATTTTGCCCAGGCTGGTCTTGAACTCCTGGGCTCAAGCAGTCCTCCCCCCTCAGCCTGCCAGAGTGTTGGGATTACAGGTGTGAGCCACCGTACTCAGCCTTACTCATTTTATTTATTTATTTACTTACTTACTTACTTTATTTATTTATTTTCTGAGACAGAGTCTCACTCTGTCGCCCAGGCTGGAGTGCAGTGGTGTGAGCTTGGCTCACTGCAGCCTCCACTTCCCGAGTTCAAGCGATTCTCCTGCCTCAGCATCCAGAGTAGCTGGGATTACAGGCATGTGCCACCAGGCCAGCTAATTTTTTTGTATTTTTAGTAGAGACGGGGTTTTGCCATGTTGGCCAGGCTAGTCCCAAACTCCTGACCTCAGGTGATCCACCTGCCTCGGCCTCCCAAATTGCCGGGATTACAGTCGTGAGCCACCACGTCCGGCCATCTTACTCATTTTAGATTCTCATCTCACTGACCAGCAGGATAAAACTGTGCTATAAAGGATACCCGGTCTAGTGATTACTCTGATGGCAGGATAAAACTGTGCTATGAACGATACCTGGTCTAGTGATTACTCTGATGATCATTTAAAATAGTCTCTAATTCTTTCATTTATGTACTTATCCCAGACACTTAGTAATTTGTGGGGTTTTTTTGTAACAGCTTTGAGATATAATTCACATACTACATAATTTGCCCATTTAAAAAATAAATTCATTGGTTTTTAGTGTATTCTGTGTTGTGCATCCATCATCACAATTTTAGAAAACATTTTCATCACCCCCCCAGGGACCCTCTACTCTTTAGCAGCCATGCAACTCCCCTTCCTTATTTCCTGCATTGAACCCAGCCCCAGATATCCACCATCTGTAGAAGTGCCTGTTGTGGACATTTCATATAAGTGAACTCATACAGTATGTGATTCTTTGTGTCTGGCTTCTTTCACTTAGCATAAGTTTCCAAGGCTCATCCACATTGTAGCATGTGTCAGAATTTTATTCCTTTTTTATTGCTGAGAGTTTGTATTTTTCCAATAAAATTATTTTATCTTTTCCTTTTTTTTCCTTCTTCAGAATCCCAAAATTCTTCTCCTAGATGAAGCAACCAGGTGAGGATATCTTAATAATATATGCCATTGTGTGTATTAAACCAAATTCTTCCTTCACCAAAACACTTTTAATTCTGTACCTCAAAGTGATACAACTGAAAATCCTTTTTCCCCCCTTTACTCTAAAGTGAGGGAAGCTGAATTAATAATGACAGTTGAAAACCAGTGGGCAGACTGAGTCCTAGTTGAGAGTTCTAGGTCCACTTCAGACATGGTTGCCATCAATCCTAATCACTCTGTAAGCTGTAACTGTGCAGAATGCTTTTCTCCTTACATCACAGTATAGTTTTATGGAGATCAGAAAGTCCTAAACAGTTGAAATTTTGATCATGGTAAAAATTCATTGCTCAGGAAGGGCTGCTGTGTGTATCAGGAAGCACATGGGTGTCACTGACGTCTTTGCTTTCTTGTGTGTGTGCTCCTGTGTCAGTGCGCTGGATGCCGAAAATGAGTACCTTGTTCAAGAAGCTCTAGATCGACTGATGGATGGAAGAACGGTGTTAGTTATTGCCCATCGTCTGTCCACCATTAAGAATGCTAATATGGTTGCTGTTCTTGACCAAGGAAAAATTACTGAATATGGAAAACATGAAGAGCTGCTTTCAAAACCAAATGGGATATACAGAAAACTAATGAACAAACAAAGTTTTATTTCAGCATAAGGAAGCAATTACTGGTAAACAATATGAGACTTTAATGCAAAACAGTGTTGCAGAAAAAAAACTCAGAGACTATGAAATACATAAACCATATATCAAGTTATTTGAAAAATACCTATTTTTTTCCAAAGTGTGTAAAAGATTGTTTTGAAACGTACCTGTTCTCAAGATCTTTTTATTCAGAGTTTTAATAATTGTAACTTTTTAAATGTCTATAGCACTGAAGTTATTTTCAGGTTTTGTATTTTCTTTTCTTGTGGAATATTTTAATTAATATAGCATGGCACCTCATTTTCTTTTGCCTGCTGTTAAAGATTGAAGCTATTGTCAAATGACAACTTTAAAAAGGCAATTATAAATAAAAAGCCTGATTATTTTAGGCCAGTTTACCAATCACTGTGTAATTCTTCTGGTAGTATTCTACCTACTTTTAAGTCTAATTTTACAGATAGAATAATGGAAATTGAAAATTTAACCCTTTATTCCGATAATCTCATGAAGCAAACCTAACTATTTAACATCAGCTGGAAAGAAGGGAACATTTATATTGCCCATCTCCTGTGTCTTCAAAGGTGTGAGAGCTGAGGAATATGTGTTCCTATGGGAACTATGTTTGAATATGTGCAGTTTTCAACATTTTGGCACATGAAAGCCTGACAAGTTTTTAAAAGGGCAGAAGCTTTATTTTTTGAACAGGAAAACATGTTTTTTAAATTCACATGTTTGT